>NC_000005.10:46796825-47032722 GCF_000001405.40 Homo sapiens | reverse complement strand
GGCTCAAAACAAAAGGATGGAGGAAGATCTACCAAGCCAATGGAAAACAAAAAAAGGCAGGGGTTGCAATCCTAGTCTCTGATAAAACAGACTTTAAACCAACAAAGATCAAAAGAGACAAAGAAGGCCATTACATAATGGTAAAGGGATCAATTCAACAAGAGGAGCTAACTATCCTAAATATTTATGCACCCAATACAGGAGCACCCAGATTCATAAAGCAAGTCCTGAGTGACCTACAAAGAGACTTAGACTCCCACACATTAATAATGGGAGACTTTAACACCCCGCTGTCAACATTAGACAGAACAACGAGGCAGAAAGTCAACAAGGATACCCAGGAATTGAACTCAGCTCTGCACCAAGCAGACCTAATAGGGTTGACTCTTTCTTTTGATTGAGCAGTTTTGAACCACCTGTTTTGTAGAATCTGCTTGTGGATATTTGTAGCTCTTGGAGGAATTCTTTGTAAAAGGGATATCTTCACATACACACTAGTCAGATCTGTCTAGTTTGTAAGTGAACATATTTCCTTTTCCATCATAGGCCTCAAATCGCTCCAAGTATCCACTTGCAGATACTACAAAAAGACTGTTTCAGAACTGCTTTCTCCAAAGAAAGTTTCAACTCTGTTAGTTGAATGCACACATCACAGAGCAGTTTCTGAGAATGCTTCTGTGTAATTTGTATTTGAAGATATCCCGTATACGCCCAATTCCTCAAAGCCCTCCAAATACACGCAAGCAGATTCTACAAAAGCAGTGTTTCAAATCTGCTCTATCAAAAGAAAGGTTCAACTTTGTGAATTGGACACAAACATCTCAAAGGAGTTTCTGAGAAGGCTTCTTTCTAGTTTGTATGTGAACACATTTCTTTTTCCACCACAGGCAACAAAGCTCTCCAAATGAACACTTGCAGATTCTATAAAAAGTGTGTTTCAACACTGCTCTATCAAAATAAGGTTTCAAGTCTGTAAGTTTAATGCACACATCACAAAGCAGTTTCTGAGAATGCTTCTGTCTAGTTTGTAGGTGAAGGTATTTCCTTTTCCATCTTAGACCTCAAAGCACCAAAAATATCCACCTGTACATACTACAAAAAGACTGTTTCAAAACGTCTCTCTCAAAAGGAAGGTTCAACTCTGTGAGTTGAATGCACACATCACACAGCAGTTTCTGAGCATGCTTCTGTCTAGTTTGTATGTGAAGATAGTTCCTTTTCCCTCATAGGCCTCATAGCGTTCCAAATAGCGACTTGCAGATACTACAAAAAGACTGTTTGAAAACTGTTCTCTCAGAAGGAAGGTTCAACTCCGTGTGTTGAATGCACACATCACAAAGCAGTTTCTGAGAATGCTTCTGGCTAGTTTGTATGTGAAGATATCCCATTGACAGCGAATTCCTCAAAGAGCTCCAAATATCCACAAGCAGATTCTAGAAAAGCAGTGTTTCAAAACTGCTCAATCAAAAGAAAGGTTCATCTCTGTGCATTGAACACACATATCACAAAGGAGTTTCGGAGAACACTTCTTTCTAGTCTTTATGTGAAGATACTTCTTTTTCCACCATAGGCATCAAAGCGCTCCAAATGAACACTTGCAGATTCTACAAATGTGTGTTTCAACACTGCTCTTTCAAGAGAAAGGTTCAAGTCTGTGAGTTGAATGCACACATCACTAAGCAGTTTCTGTGAATGCTTCTATCTAGTTTCTATGTGAAGATATTCCCGTTTCCATGTTAAGCCTCACATCGCTCCATATATCCACTTGAGGATACTACAAAAAACTGTTTCAAAACTGCTCTCTCAAAAGGAAGGTTCAACTCTGTGAGCTGAATGCACACATCACAAAGCAGTAAATGAGATTGCTTCTGTCTAGTTTGTATGTGAGGATATTTCCTTTTCAAACTTAGACTTCCCATCGCTCCAAATATCCACTTGCAGATATTTCAAAGAGACTGTTTAAAAACTGCTCTCTCAGAAGGAAGGTTCAACTCTGTGAGTTGAATGCCCACACCACAAAGCAGTTTCTGAGAATGCTGCTGTCTAGTTTGTATGCGAAGATATCCCGTTTACAACGAATTCCTCAAAGAGCTCCAAATATCCACAAGCAGATTCTACAGAAGCAGTGTATCAAAACTGCTCTATCAAAAGAAAGGTTCAACTCTCTGAATAGAACAAACACATCAAAAAGGAGTTTCTGAGAATGCTTCTGTCTAGTATTTATGTGAAGATATTTCTTTTTCCACCATAGGCAAAAAAACGCTCCAAGTGAACACTTGCACATCCTACAAAATGTTTGTTTCAACACTGCTCTTTCAAGAGAAAGGTTCAAGTCTGTGAGTTGAATGCACACATCACTAAGCAGTTTCTGTGAATGCTTCTGTCTAGTTTGTATGTGAAGATATCCCGTTTACAACGAAATACTCAAAGAGCTCCAAATATCCACAAGCAGATCCTATAAATGCGGTGTTTCAAAACTGCTCTATCATAAGAAAATTTCAATTCTGTGAATTTGACACACACTTCACAAAGGAGTTTCTGAGAATGTTTCTGTCTAGTTTTCATTTGAAGATATTTCTTTTTCCACTATAGGCAACAAAGCGCACTAAATGAACCCTTGCAGATTCTACAAAAAGCGTGTTCCAACACTGATCTCTCAAAAGAATGTTTGAAGTCTGTGAGTTGAAGGCACACATCTCAAAGAACTTTTTGAGAATGCTTGGGTCTCCTTTTTTTGTGAAGATACCAGCTGCCAACGAACTCCTGAAAGAGTTCCAAATATCCACAAGCAGATTCTACAAAAGGAGTGTTTCAATTCTGCTCTATCAAAAGGCAGATTCAACTCAGTTACTTGAATGCACACATCTCAGTGAAGTTCCTGAGCATGCCTCTGTCTAGTTTTTTTGTGAAGATATTTCCTTTTCCGCCAAAGGCTTAAAAGCGCTCCAAAATGAACACTCGCAGATCCTACAAAAAGACTGTTTCAGAACTGCTCTATCAAAAGGACGGTTCCACTCTGTGAGGTAAATGCACACATCACAAAGCAGATTCTGAGAAAGCTTCTGTCAAGTTTGGCCGTGAAGATATTTCCTTTTCAATCTTAGTCCTCCCATTGCTCCAAGTATCCACTTGTAGAGAATACAAAAAGATTGTTTCAAAACTGCTCTCTCAAAAGGAAGGTTCAACTCTGTGAGTAGAATGCACACATCACAAACCAGTTTCTGAGAATGCTTCTGACTAGTTTGAATGTGAAGATATCCCGTTTAAAACGAATTCCTCAAACAGCTCCAAATATCCACAAGAAGATTCTACAAAAGCAGTGTTTCAAAACTGCTTTATCTAAAGAAAGGTTCAACCCTGTGAATTGAACAACCACATCACAAAGTATTTTCTGAGAATGTTTCTGTCTAGTTTTTACGTGAAGATATTTCTTTTTCCACCATGGGCAAGAAAGCACTCCAAATGAACACTTGCAGATTCTACAAAAAGTGTGTTTGAACCCTGCTCTATCAAAAGAAAGTTTCAAGCCTGTGAGTTGAATCCCCACATCACAAAGCAGTTTCTGAGAATGCTTCTGCCTAGTTTTTAGGTGAAGATATATCCTTTTCCATCTTAGGCCTCAAATCTCTCCAAACATCCACTTGCAGATACTTCAAAAAGACTGTTTCAAAACTGCTCTCAAAAGGAAGGTTCAACTCTGTGAGTTGAATGCACACATCACAACGCAGTGTCTGAGAATGCTTCTGTCTAGTTTGTATGTGGAGATATTTCCTTTTCCATCTTAGGCCTCAAATCGATCCAAATATCCAATTGCAGATACCACAAAAAGACTGCTTCAAAACAGCTCTCGCAAAAGGAAGGTTCAACTCTGTGAGTTGAATGCACACATCACAGAGCAGTTTCTGAGAATGCTTCTGTCTACTTTGTATGTGAAGATATCCCGTTTACAACAAATTCCTCATAGAGCCCCCAATATCAACAAGCAGATTCTACAAAAGCAGTGTTTCAAAACTGCTCTATCAAAAGGAACATTCAACTCAGCGAATTGAACACACACATCACAAAGCAGTCTCTGAGAATGCTTCTGTCTGGTTTTTAGGTGAAGATATTCCTTTTTCCACCATAGGCAACAGAGCACTCCAAACGAACACATGAAGATTCTACAAAAAGTGTGTTCCAACACTGCTCTATCAAAAGAAAGTTTCAAGTCTGGGAGTCCAATGTACATGTCACAAAGAACGTTCTGTGAATGCTTGGGTCTACTTTTTATGTGAAGATAGCCGTTTCCAAAGAATTCTTCAAAGAGTTCCAGATATCCACAGGCAGATTCTACAAAAGAAGTGTTTCAATACTGCTCTATCAAAAGACGTATTCAACTCAGTTACTTTAATGCACACATCTCAATGAAGTTCCTGAGAAAGCTTCTGTCTAGTTTTTATGTGAAAATATTTCCTTTTCCATCATGGGCCTCAAAGCGCTCAAAATGAACACTTGCAGATACTAGAGAAAGACTGTTTCAAAACTGCTCTATCCAAAGAAAGGTTCCACTCTGTGAGGTGAATGCACACATCACAAAGCAGTTTCTCAGAACGCTTCTGTCTAGTTTGTATGTGAACATATTTCCTTTTCCATCATAGGCCTCAAATCGCTCCAAATATCCACTTGCAGATACTACAAAAAGACTGTTTCAAAACTGCTTTCTCAAAAGAAAGTTTCAACTCTGTGAGTTGAATGCACACATCACAAAGCAGTTTCTGAGAATGCTTCTGTGTAACTTGTATGTGAAGATCTCCCGTATACGCCCAATTCCTCAAAGACCGCCAAATATCCGCAAGCAGATTCTACAAAAGCAGTGTTCCAAATCTGCTCTATCAAAAGAAAGGTTCAACTTTGTGAATTGGACACAAACATCTCAAAGGAGTTTCTGAGAAGGCTTCTTTCTAGATTGTATGTGAACACATTTCTTTTTCCACCACAGGCAACAAAGCTCTCCAAATGAACACATGCAGATTCTATAAAAAGTGTGTTTCAACACTGCTCTATCAAAATAAGCTTTCAAGTCTGTAAGTTTAATACACACATCACAAAGCAGTTTCTGATAATGCTTCTGTCTAGTTTGTATTTGAAGATATCCCGTTTACAACGAAATCCTCAAAGAGCTCCAAATATCCACAAGCAGATCCTATAAAAGCGGTGTTTCAAAGCTGCGCTATCAAAGGAAAATTTCAATTCTGTGAATTTGACACACACTTCAGAAAGGAGTTTCTGAGAATGTTTCTGTCTAGTTTTCATTTGAAGATATTTCTTTTTCCACCATAGGCAACAGAGCGCACTAAATGAACACTTGCAGATTCTACAAAATGCGTGTTCCAACACTGATCTCTCAAAAGAAAGTTTGAAGTCTGTGAGTTTAAGGCACACATCTCAAAGAACTTTTTGAGCATGCTTGGGTCTCCTTTTATTGTGAAGATACCAGCTGCCAACGAATTCCTGAAAGAGTTGTAAATATCCACAAGCAGATTCTACAAAAGGAGTGTTTCAATTCTGCTCTATCAAAAGGCAGATTCAACTCAGTTACTTGAATGCACACATCTCAGTGAAGTTCCTGAGCATGCCTCTGTCTGGTTTTTTGTGAAGATATTTCCTTTTCCGCCAAAGACTTAAAAGCGCTCCAAAATGAACACTCGCAGATCCTACAAAAAGACTGTTTCAGAACTGCTCTATCAAAAGGACGGTTCCACTCTGTGAGGTGAATGCACACATCACAAAGCAGATTCTGAGAAAGCTTCTGTCAAGTTTGGCCGTGAAGATATTTCCTTTTCAATCTTAGTCCTCCCATTGCTCCAAGTATCCACTTGTAGAGAATACAAAAAGATTGTTTCAAAACTGCTCTCTCAAAAGGAAGGTTCAACTCTGTGAGTAGAATGCACACATCACAAACCAGTTTCTGAGAATGCTTCTGACTAGTTTGAATGTGAAGATATCCCGTTTAAAACGAATTCCTCAAACAGCTCCAAATATCCACAAGAAGATTCTACAAAAGCAGTGTTTCAAAACTGCTTTATCTAAAGAAAGGTTCAACCCTGTGAATTGAACAACCACATCACAAAGTATTTTCTGAGAATGTTTCTGTCTAGTTTTTACGTGAAGATATTTCTTTTTCCACCATGGGCAAGAAAGCACTCCAAATGAACACTTGCAGATTCTACAAAAAGTGTGTTTCAACCCTGCTCTATCAAAAGAAAGTTTCAAGCCTGTGAGTTGAATCCCCACATCACAAAGCAGTTTCTGAGAATGCTTCTGCCTAGTTTTTAGGTGAAGATATATCCTTTTCCATCTTAGGCCTCAAATCTCTCCAAACATCCACTTGCAGATACTTCAAAAAGACTGTTTCAAAACTGCTCTCAAAAGGAAGGTTCAAGTCTGTGAGTTGAATGCACACATCACAACGCAGTGTCTGAGAATGCTTCTGTCTAGTTTGTATGTGAAGATATT
This sequence comes from Homo sapiens, assembly GCF_000001405.40. Classification (NCBI taxonomy): domain Eukaryota; kingdom Metazoa; phylum Chordata; class Mammalia; order Primates; family Hominidae; genus Homo; species Homo sapiens. Next base: position 47,026,227 of record NC_000005.10, on the reverse strand, counting down.
TCCTTTTCCATCTTAGGCCTCAAATCGATCCAAATATCCAATTGCAGATACCACAAAAAGACTGCTTCAAAACAGCTCTCGCAAAAGGAAGGTTCAACTCTGTGAGTTGAATGCACACATCACAGAGCAGTTTCTGAGAATGCTTCTGTCTAGTTTGTATGTGAAGGATATCCCGTTTACAACAAATTCCTCAAAGAGCCCCCAATAGCAACAAGCAGATTCTACAAAAGCAGTGTTTCAAAACTGCTCTATCAAAAGGAACTTCCAACTCTGCGAATTGAACACACACATCACAAAGCAGTCTCTGAGAATGCTTCTGTCTGGTTTTTAGGTGAAGATATTCCTTTTTCCACCATAGGCAACAGAGCACTCCAAACGAACACATGAAGATTCTACAAAAAGTGTGTTCCAACACTGCTCTATCAAAAGAAAGTTTCAAGTCTGGGAGTCCAATGTACATGTCACAAAGAACGTTCTGTGAATGCTTGGGTCTACTTTTTATGTGAAGATAGCCGTTTCCAAAGAATTCTTCAAAGAGTTCCAGATATCCACAGGCAGATTCTACAAAAGAAGTGTTTCAATACTGCTCTATCAAAAGACGTATTCCACTCAGTTACTTTAATGCACACATCTCAATGAAGTTCCTGAGAAAGCTTCTGTCTAGTTTTTATGTGAAAATATTTCCTTTTCCATCATGGGCCTCAAAGCGCTCAAAATGAACACTTGCAGATACTAGAGAAAGACTGTTTCAAAACTGCTCTATCCAAAGAAAGGTTCCACTCTGTGAGGTGAATGCACACATCACAAAGCAGTTTCTCAGAACGCTTCTGTCTAGTTTGTATGTGAACATATTTCCTTTTCCATCATAGGCCTCAAATCGCTCCAAATATCCACTTGCAGATACTACAAAAAGACTGTTTCAAAACTGCTTTCTCAAAAGAAAGTTTCAACTCTGTGAGTTGAATGCACACATCACAAAGCAGTTTCTGAGAATGCTTCTGTGTAACTTGTATGTGAAGATCTCCCGTATACGCCCAATTCCTAAAAGACCGCCAAATATCCGCAAGCAGATTCTACAAAAGCAGTGTTTCAAATCTGCTCTATCAAAAGAAAGGTTCAACTTTGTGAATTGGACACAAACATCTCAAAGGAGTTTCTGAGAAGGCTTCTTTCTAGTTTCTAGGTGAACATATTCCTTTTTCCACCACAGGCAACAAAGCTCTCCAAATGAACACTTGCAGATTCTATAAAAAGTGTGTTTCAACACTGCTCTATCAAAATAAAGTTTCAAGTCTGTAAGTTTAATGCACACATCACAAAGCAGTTTCTGAGAATGCTTCTGTCTAGTTTGTAGGTGAAGGTATTTCCTTTTCCATCTTAGACCTCAAATCACTAAAAATATCCACTTGCAGATACTACAAAAAGACTGTTTCAAAACCTCTCTCTCAAAAGGAAGGTGCAACTCTGTGAGTTGAATGCACACATCACAAAGCAGTTTCTGAGAATGCTACTTTCTAGTATTTATGTGAAGATATTTCTTTATCCACCATAGGCACAACAGCGTTCCAAATGAACACTTGCAGATCGTACAAAATGTGTGTTTCAACACTGCTCTTTCAAAACAAGGGTTCAAGTCTGTGAGTTGAATGCAGACATCACCAAGCAGCTTCTGAGAGTGCTTCTGTCTAGATTGTATGTGAAGATATTTCCTCTTCCATCTTAGGCCTCAAATCACTACAAACATCCAATTGAAGATACTTCAAAAAGATTGTTTCAAAACGGCTCTCTCAAAAGGAAGGTTCAACTCTGTGAGTTCAATTCACACATCACAAAGAAGTTTCTGAGAATGCTTCTGACTAGTGTGTATGTGAAGATATCCCTTTTACAAAGAATTCCTCCAAGAGCTACAAATATCCACAAGCAGATTCTACAAAACAGGTGGTTCAAAACTGCTCAATCAAAAGAAAGAGTCAACCCTGTGAATTGAACACACACATCACAAAGCAGTTTCTGAGAATGCTTCTGTCTAGTTTGTAAGTGAACATATTTCCTTTTCCATCATAGGCCTCAAATCGCTCCAAGTATCCACTTGCAGATACTACAAAAAGACTGTTTCAGAACTGCTTTCTCCAAAGAAAGTTTCAACTCTGTTAGTTGAATGCACACATCACAGAGCAGTTTCTGAGAATGCTTCTGTGTAATTTGTATGTGAAGATATCCCGTATACGCCCAATTCCTCAAAGACCTCCAAATACACGCAAGCAGATTCTACAAAAGCAGTGTTGCAAATCTGCTCTATCAAAAGAAAGGTTCAACTTTGTGAATTAGACACAAACATCTCAAAGGAGTTTCTGAGAAGGCTTCTTTCTAGTTTGTATGTGAACACATTTCTTTTTCCACCACAGGCAACAAAGCTCTCCAAATGAACACTTGCAGGTTCTATAAAAAGTGTGTTTCAACACTGCTCTATCAAAATAAGGTTTCAAGTCTGTAAGTTTAATGCACACATCACAAAGCAGTTTCTGAGAATGCTTCTGTCTAGTTTGTAGGTGAAGGTATTTCCTTTTCCATCTTAGACCTCAAATCACCAAAAATATCCACCTGTACATACTACAAAAAGACTGTTTCAAAACGTCTCTCTCAAAAGGAAGGTTCAACTCTGTGAGTTGAATGCACACATCACACAGCAGTTTCTGAGCATGCTTCTGTCTAGTTTGTATGTGAAAATAGTTCCTTTTCCCTCATAGGCCTCAAATCGTTCCAAATATCGACTTGCAGGTACTACAAAAAGACTGTTTGAAAACTCTTCTCTCACAAGGAAGGTTCAACTCCGTGTGTTGAATGCACACATCACAAAGCAGTTTCTGAGAATGCTTCTGTCTAGCTTGTACGTGAAGATAGTTCCTTTTCCCTCATAGGTCCCAAATCGTTCCAAATATCGACTTGCAGATACCACAAAAAGACTGCTTCAAAACTGTTCTCAGAAGGAAGGTTCAACTCCGTGTGTTGAATGCACACATCAAAAAGCAGTTTCTGAGAATGCTTCTGTCTAGTTTGTATGTGAAGATATAACATTGACAGCGAATTCGTCAAAGAGCTTCAAATATCCAAAAGCAGATTCTAGAAAAGCAGTGTTTCAAAACTGCTCAATCAAAAGAAAGGTTCAACTCTGTGAACTGAACACATATATCACAAAGGAGTTTCGGAGAACGCTTCTTTCTAGTCTTTATGTGAAGATATTTCTTTTTCCACCATAGGCATCAAAGCGCTCCAAATGAACTCTTGCAGATTCTGCATATGTGTGTTTCAACACTGCTCTGTCTAAAGAAATGTTCAAGTCTCTGAGTTGAATGCACCCATCACAAAGCAGTTTCTGAGAATGCTTCTTTCTAGTTTGCATGTGAAGATATTCCCGTTTCCATCTTAAGCCTCACATCGCTCCATATATCCACTTGAGGATACTACAAAAAACTGTTTCAAAACTGCTCTCTCAAAAGGAAGGTTCAACTCTGTGAGCTGAATGCACACATCGCAAAGCAGTTAATGAGATTGCTTCTGTCTAGTTTGTATGTGAGGATATTTCCTTTTCAAACTTAGACTTCCCATCGCTCCAAATATCCACTTGCAGATATTTCAAAGAGACTGTTTAAAAACTGCTCTCTCAGAAGGAAGGTTCAACTCTGTGAGTTGAATGCACACACCACAAAGCAGTTTCTGAGAATGCTTCTGTCTAGTTTGTATGTGAAGATATCCCGTTTACAACGAATTCCTCAAAGTAGCTCCAAATATCCACAAGCAGATTCTACAGAAGCAGTGTATCAAAACTGCTCTATCAAAAGAAAGGTTCAACTCTCTGAATAGAACAAACACATCACTAAGGCGTTTCTGAGAATGCTTCTGTCTAGTATTTATGTGAAGATATTTCTTTTTCCACCATAGGCAAAAAAGCGCTCCAAGTGAACACTTGCACATCCTACAAAATGTGTGTTTGAACACTGCTCTTTCAAAAGAAAGGTTGAAGTCTGTGATTGGAATGCACACATCACAAAGCAGTTTCTGAGAATGCTTCTGTCTACTTTGTATGTGAAGATATCCCGTTTACAACAAATTCCTCAAAGAGCTCCAGATATCCACAAGCAGATCCTATAAAAGCGGTGTTTCAAAGCTGCGCTATCAAAGGAATATTTCAATTCTGTGAATTTGACACACACTTCACAAAGGAGTTTCTGAGAATGTTTCTGTCTAGTTTTCATTTGAAGATATTTCTTTTTCCACCATAGGCAACAAAGCGCACTAAATGAACACTTGCAGATTCTACAAAAAGCGTGTTCCAACACTGATCTCTCAAAAGAAAGTTTGAAGTCTGTGAGTTTAAGGCACACATCTCAAGGAACTTTTTGAGAATCCTTGGGTCTCCTTTTTTTGTGAAGATACCAGCTGCCAACGAACTCCTGAAAGAGTTCCAAATATCCACAAGCAGATTCTACAAAAGGAGTGTTTCAATTCTGCTCTATCAAAAGGCAGATTCAACTCAGTTACTTGAATGCACACATCTCAGTGAAGTTCCTGAGCATGCCTCTGTCTAGTTTTTTTGTGAAGATATTTCCTTTTCCGCCAAAGGCTTAAAAGCGCTCCAAAATGAACACTCGCAGATCCTACAAAAAGACTGTTTCAGAACTGCTCTATCAAAAGGACGGTTCCACTCTGTGAGGTAAATGCACACATCACAAAGCAGATTCTGAGAAAGCTTCTGTCAAGTTTGGCCGTGAAGATATTTCCTTTTCAATCTTAGTCCTCCCATTGCTCCAAGTATCCACTTGTAGAGAATACAAAAAGATTGTTTCAAAACTGCTCTCTCAAAAGGAAGGTTCAACTCTGTGAGTAGAATGCACACATCACAAACCAGTTTCTGAGAATGCTTCTGACTAGTTTGAATGTGAAGATATCCCGTTTAAAACGAATTCCTCAAACAGCTCCAAATATCCACAAGAAGATTCTACAAAAGCAGTGTTTCAAAACTGCTTTATCTAAAGAAAGGTTCAACCCTGTGAATTGAACAACCACATCACAAAGTATTTTCTGAGAATGTTTCTGTCTAGTTTTTACGTGAAGATATTTCTTTTTCCACCATGGGCAAGAAAGCACTCCAAATGAACACTTGCAGATTCTACAAAAAGTGTGTTTGAAGCCTGCTCTATCAAAAGAAAGTTTCAAGCCTGTGAGTTGAATCCCCACATCACAAAGCAGTTTCTGAGAATGCTTCTGCCTAGTTTTTAGGTGAAGATATATCCTTTTCCATCTTAGGCCTCAAATCTCTCCAAACATCCACTTGCAGATACTTCAAAAAGACTGTTTCAAAACTGCTCTCAAAAGGAAGGTTCAACTCTGTGAGTTGAATGCACACATCACAACGCAGTGTCTGAGAATGCTTCTGTCTAGTTTGTATGTGGAGATATTTCCTTTTCCATCTTAGGCCTCAAATCGATCCAAATATCCAATTGCAGATACCACAAAAAGACTGCTTCAAAACAGCTCTCGCAAAAGGAAGGTTCAACTCTGTGAGTTGAATGTACACATCACAGAGCAGTTTCTGAGAATGCTTCTGTCTACTTTGTATGTGAAGATATCCCGTTTACAACAAATTCCTCATAGAGCCCCCAATATCAACAAGCAGATTCTACAAAAGCAGTGTTTCAAAACTGCTCTATCAAAAGGAACATTCAACTCAGCGAATTGAACACACACATCACAAAGCAGTCTCTGAGAATGCTTCTGTCTAGTTTTTATGTGAAGGTATTTCTTTTTTTACCATTGGCAACAAAGCGCTCTAAATGAACACTTGCAGATTGTACATAAAGTGTCTTTCAACACTGCTCTATCAAAAGAAAGTTCCAGTCTGTGAGTTGTATGCAGTCCTCACAAAGAAATTTCTGAGAATTCTTGGGTCTACTTTTTATGTGAAGATAGCCGTTTCCAAATAATTCTTCAAAGAGTTCCAGATATCCACAGGCAGATTCTACAAAAGAAGTGTTTCAATACTGCTCTATCAAAAGACGTATTCAACTCAGTTACTTTAATGCACACATCTCAATGAAGTTCCTGAGAAAGCTTCTGTCTAGTTTTTATGTGAAAATATTTCCTTTTCCATCATGGGCCTCAAAGCGCTCAAAATGAACACTTGCAGATACTAGAGAAAGACTGTTTCAAAACTGCTCTATCCAAAGAACGGTTCCACTCTGTGAGGTGAATGCACACATCACAAAGCAGTTTCTGAGAACGCTTCTGTCTAGTTTGTATGTGAACATATTTCCTTTTCCATCATAGGCCTCAAATCGCTCCAAATATCCACTTGCAGATACTACAAAAAGACTGTTTCGGAACTGCTTTCTCAAAAGAAAGTTTCAACTCTGTGAGTTGAATGCACACAGCACAAAGCAGTTTCTGACAATGCTTCTGTGTAACTTGTATGTGAAGATCTCCCGTATACGCCCAATTCCTAAAAGACCGCCAAATATCCGCAAGCAGATTCTACAAAAGCAGTGTTTCAAATCTGCTCTATCAAAAGAAAGGTTCAACTTTGTGAATTGGACACAAACATCTCAAAGGAGTTTCTGAGAAGGCTTCTTTCTAGTTTCTAGGTGAACATATTCCTTTTTCCACCACAGGCAACAAAGCTCTCCAAATGAACACTTGCAGATTCTATAAAAAGTGTGTTTCAACACTGCTCTATCAAAATAAAGTTTCAAGTCTGTAAGTTTAATGCACACATCACAAAGCAGTTTCTGAGAATGCTTCTGTCTAGTTTGTAGGTGAAGGTATTTCCTTTTCCATCTTAGACCTCAAATCACTAAAAATATCCACTTGCAGATACTACAAAAAGACTGTTTCAAAACCTCTCTCTCAAAAGGAGGGTGCAACTCTGTGAGTTGAATGCACACATCACAAAGCAGTTTCTGAGAATGCTACTTTCTAGTATTTATGTGAAGATATTTCTTTATCCACCATAGGCACAACAGCGTTCCAAATGAACACTTGCAGATCGTACAAAATGTGTGTTTCAACACTGCTCTTTCAAAACAAGGGTTCAAGTCTGTGAGTTGAATGCAGACATCACCAAGCAGCTTCTGAGAGTGCTTCTGTCTAGATTGTATGTGAAGATATTTCCTATTCCATCTTAGGCCTCAAATCACTACAAACATCCAATTGAAGATACTTCAAAAAGATTGTTTCAAAACGGCTCTCTCAAAAGGAAGGTTCAACTCTGTGAGTTCAATTCACACATCACAAAGAAGTTTCTGAGAATGCTTCTGACTAGTGTGTATGTGAAGATATCCCTTTTACAAAGAATTCCTCTAAGAGCTACAAATATCCACAAGCAGATTCTACAAAACAGGTGGTTCAAAACTGCTCAATCAAAAGAAAGAGTCAACCCTGTGAATTGAACACACACATCACAAAGCAGTTTCTGAGAATGCTTCTGTCTAGTTTGTAAGTGAACATATTTCCTTTTCCATCATAGGCCTCAAATCGCTCCAAGTATCCACTTGCAGATACTACAAAAAGACTGTTTCAGAACTGCTTTCTCCAAAGAAAGTTTCAACTCTGTTAGTTGAATGCACACATCACAGAGCAGTTTCTGAGAATGCTTCTGTGTAATTTGTATGTGAAGATATCCCGTATACGCCCAATTCCTCAAAGACCTCCAAATACACGCAAGCAGATTCTACAAAAGCAGTGTTTCAAATCTGCTCTATCAAAAGAAAGGTTCAACTTTGTGAATTAGACACAAACATCTCAAAGGAGTTTCTGAGAAGGCTTCTTTCTAGTTTGTATGTGAACACATTTCTTTTTCCACCACAGGCAACAAAGCTCTCCAAATGAACACTTGCAGGTTCTATAAAAAGTGTGTTTCAACACTGCTATATCAAAATAAGGTTTCAAGTCTGTAAGTTTAATGCACACATCACAAAGCAGTTTCTGAGAATGCTTCTGTCTAGTTTGTAGGTGAAGGTATTTCCTTTTCCATCTTAGACCTCAAATCACCAAAAATATCCACCTGTACATACTACAAAAAGACTGTTTCAAAACGTCTCTCTCAAAAGGAAGGTTCAACTCTGTGAGTTGAATGCACACATCACACAGCAGTTTCTGAGCATGCTTCTGTCTAGTTTGTATGTGAAGATAGTTCCTTTTCCCTCATAGGCCTCAAATCGTTCCAAATATCGACTTGCAGATACTACAAAAAGACTGTTTGAAAACCGTTCTCTCAGAAGGAAGGTTCAACTCCGTGTGTTGAATGCACACATCACAAAGCAGTTTCTGAGAATGCTTCTGTCTAGCTTGTACGTGAAGATAGTTCCTTTTCCCTCATAGGTCCCAAATCGTTCCAAATATCGACTTGCAGATACCACAAAAAGACTGCTTCAAAACTGTTCTCAGAAGGAAGGTTCAACTCCGTGTGTTGAATGCACACATCAAAAAGCAGTTTCTGAGAATGCTTCTGTCTAGTTTGTATGTGAAGATATAACATTGACAGCGAATTCGTCAAAGAGCTTCAAATATCCAAAAGCAGATTCTAGAAAAGCAGTGTTTCAAAACTGCTCAATCAAAAGAAAGGTTCAACTCTGTGAACTGAACACATATATCACAAAGGAGTTTCGGAGAACGCTTCTTTCTAGTCTTTATGTGAAGATATTTCTTTTTCCACCATAGGCATCAAAGCGCTCCAAATGAACTCTTGCAGATTCTGCATATGTGTGTTTCAACACTGCTCCGTCTAAAGAAATGTTCAAGTCTCTGAGTTGAATGCACCCATCACAAAGCAGTTTCTGAGAATGCTTCTTTCTAGTTTGCATGTGAAGATATTCCCGTTTCCATCTTAAGCCTCACATCGCTCCATATATCCACTTGAGGATACTACAAAAAACTGTTTCAAAACTGCTCTCTCAAAAGGAAGGTTCAACTCTGTGAGCTGAATGCACACATCGCAAAGCAGTTAATGAGATTGCTTCTGTCTAGTTTGTATGTGAGGATATTTCCTTTTCAAACTTAGACTTCCCATCGCTCCAAATATCCACTTGCAGATATTTCAAAGAGACTGTTTAAAAACTGCTCTCTCAGAAGGAAGGTTCAACTCTGTGAGTTGAATGCACACACCACAAAGCAGTTTCTGAGAATGCTGCTGTCTAGTTTGTATGCGAAGATATCCCGTTTACAACGAATTCCTCAAAGAGCTCCAAATATCCACAAGCAGATTCTACAGAAGCAGTGTATCAAAACTGCTCTATCAAAAGAAAGGTTCAACTCTCTGAATAGAACAAACACATCAAAAAGGAGTTTCTGAGAATGCTTCTGTCTAGTATTTATGTGAAGATATTTCTTTTTCCACCATAGGCAAAAAAGAGCTCCAAGTGAACACTTGCACATGCTACAAAATGTGTGTTTCAACACTGCTCTTTCAAAAGAAAGGTTGAAGTCTGTGATTGGAATGCACACATCACAAAGCAGTTTCTGAGAATGCTTCTGTCTACTTTGTATGTGAAGATATCCCGTTTACAACAAATTCCTCAAAGAGCCCCCAATAGCAACAAGCAGATTCTACAAAAGCAGTGTTTCAAAACTGCTCTATCAAAAGGAACTTTTAACTCTGCGAATTGAACACACACATCACAAAGCAGTCTCGGAGAATGCTTCTGTCTGGTTTTTAGGTGAAGATATTCCTTTTTCCACCATAGGCAACAAAGCACTCCAAACGAACACATGAAGATTCTACAAAAAGTGTGTTCCAACACTGCTCTATCAAAAGAAATGTTCAAGTCTGGGAGTCCAATGTACATATCACAAAGAACTTTCTGAGAATGCTTGGGTCTACTTTTTATGTGAAGATAGCCGTTTCCAAAGAATTCTTCAAAGAGTTCCAGATATCCACAGGCAGATTCTACAAATAAGTGTTTCAATACTGCTCTATCAAAAGACGTATTCAACTCAGTTACTTTAATGCACACATCTCAATGAAGTTCCTGAGAAAGCTTCTGTCTACTTTTTATGTGAAAATATTTCCTATTCCATCATGGGCCTAAAAGCGCTCAAAATGAACACTTGCAGATACTAGAGAAAGACTGTTTCAAAACTGCTCTATCCAAAGAACGGTTCCACTCTGTGAGGTGAATGCACACATCACAAAGCAGTTTCTGAGAACGCTTTCTGTCTAGTTTGTATGTGAACATATTTCCTTTTCCATCATAGGCCTCAAATCGCTCCAAATATCCACTTGCAGATACTACAAAAAGACTGTTTCGGAACTGCTTTCTCAAAAGAAAGTTTCAACTCTGTGAGTTGAATGCACACAGCACAAAGCAGTTTCTGACAATGCTTCTGTGTAACTTGTATGTGAAGATCTCCCGTATACGCCCAATTCCTAAAAGACCGCCAAATATCCGCAAGCAGATTCTACAAAAGCAGTGTTTCAAATCTGCTCTATCAAAAGAAAGGTTCAACTTTGTGAATTGGACACAAACATCTCAAAGGAGTTTCTGAGAAGGCTTCTTTCTAGTTTCTAGGTGAACATATTCCTTTTTCCACCACAGGCAACAAAGCTCTCCAAATGAACACTTGCAGATTCTATAAAAAGTGTGTTTCAACACTGCTCTATCAAAATAAAGTTTCAAGTCTGTAAGTTTAATGCACACATCACAAAGCAGTTTCTGAGAATGCTTCTGTCTAGTTTGTAGGTGAAGGTATTTCCTTTTCCATATTAGACCTCAAATCACTAAAAATATCCACTTGTATATACTACAAAAAGACTGTTTCAAAACCTCTCTCTCAAAAGGAAGGCTCAACTCTGTGAGTTGAATGCACACATCACAAAGCAGTTTCTGAGTATGCTTCTGTCTAGCTTGTATGTGAAGATAGTTCCTTTTCCCTCATAGGTCCCAAATCGTTCCAAATATCGACTTGCAGATACCACAAAAAGACTGCTTCAAAACTGTTCTCAGAAGGAAGGTTCAACTCCGTGTGTTGAATGCACACATCAAAAAGCAGTTTCTGAGAATGCTTCTGTCTAGTTTGTATGTGAAGATATAACATTGACAGCGAATTCGTTCAAAGAGCTTCAAATATCCAAAAGCAGATTCTAGAAAAGCAGTGTTTCAAAACTGCTCAATCAAAAGAAAGGTTCAACTCTGTGAACTGAACACATATATCACAAAGGAGTTTCGGAGAACGCTTCTTTCTAGTCTTTATGTGAAGATATTTCTTTTTCCACCATAGGCATCAAAGCGCTCCAAATGAACTCTTGCAGATTCTGCATATGTGTGTTTCAACACTGCTCCGTCTAAAGAAATGTTCAAGTCTCTGAGTTGAATGCACCCATCACAAAGCAGTTTCTGAGAATGCTTCTTTCTAGTTTGCATGTGAAGATATTCCCGTTTCCATCTTAAGCCTCACATCGCTCCATATATCCACTTGAGGATACTACAAAAAACTGTTTCAAAACTGCTCTCTCAAAAGGAAGGTTCAACTCTGTGAGCTGAATGCACACATCGCAAAGCAGTTAATGAGATTGCTTCTGTCTAGTTTGTATGTGAGGATATTTCCTTTTCAAACTTAGACTTCCCATCGCTCCAAATATCCACTTGCAGATATTTCAAAGAGACTGTTTAAAAACTGCTCTCTCAGAAGGAAGGTTCAACTCTGTGAGTTGAATGCACACACCACAAAGCAGTTTCTGAGAATGCTTCTGTCTAGTTTGTATGTGAAGATATCCCGTTTACAACGAATTCCTCAAAGAGCTCCAAATATCCACAAGCAGATTCTACAGAAGCAGTGTATCAAAACTGCTCTATCAAAAGAAAGGTTCAACTCTCTGAATAGAACAAACACATCACTAAGGCGTTTCTGAGAATGCTTCTGTCTAGTATTTATGTGAAGATATTTCTTTTTCCACCATAGGCAAAAAAGCGCTCCAAGTGAACACTTGCACATCCTACAAAATGTGTGTTTGAACACTGCTCTTTCAAAAGAAAGGTTGAAGTCTGTGATTGGAATGCACACATCACAAAGCAGTTTCTGAGAATGCTTCTGTCTACTTTGTATGTGAAGATATCCCGTTTACAACAAATTCCTCAAAGAGCTCCAGATATCCACAAGCAGATCCTATAAAAGCGGTGTTTCAAAGCTGCGCTATCAAAGGAATATTTCAATTCTGTGAATTTGACACACACTTCACAAAGGAGTTTCTGAGAATGTTTCTGTCTAGTTTTCATTTGAAGATATTTCTTTTTCCACCATAGGCAACAAAGCGCACTAAATGAACACTTGCAGATTCTACAAAAAGCGTGTTCCAACACTGATCTCTCAAAAGAAAGTTTGAAGTCTGTGAGTTTAAGGCACACATCTCAAGGAACTTTTTGAGAATCCTTGGGTCTCCTTTTTTTGTGAAGATACCAGCTGCCAATGAACTCCTGAAAGAGTTCCAAATATCCACAAGCAGATTCTACAAAAGGAGTGTTTCAATTCTGCTCTATCAAAAGGCAGATTCAACTCAGTTACTTGAATGCACACATCTCAGTGAAGTTCCTGAGCATGCCTCTGTCTAGTTTTTTTGTGAAGATATTTCCTTTTCCGCCAAAGGCTTAAAAGCGCTCCAAAATGAACACTCGCAGATCCTACAAAAAGACTGTTTCAGAACTGCTCTATCAAAAGGACGGTTCCACTCTGTGAGGTAAATGCACACATCACAAAGCAGATTCTGAGAAAGCTTCTGTCAAGTTTGGCCGTGAAGATATTTCCTTTTCAATCTTAGTCCTCCCATTGCTCCAAGTATCCACTTGTAGAGAATACAAAAAGATTGTTTCAAAACTGCTCTCTCAAAAGGAAGGTTCAACTCTGTGAGTAGAATGCACACATCACAAACCAGTTTCTGAGAATGCTTCTGACTAGTTTGAATGTGAAGATATCCCGTTTAAAACGAATTCCTCAAACAGCTCCAAATATCCACAAGAAGATTCTACAAAAGCAGTGTTTCAAAACTGCTTTATCTAAAGAAAGGTTCAACCCTGTGAATTGAACAACCACATCACAAAGTATTTTCTGAGAATGTTTCTGTCTAGTTTTTACGTGAAGATATTTCTTTTTCCACCATGGGCAAGAAAGCACTCCAAATGAACACTTGCAGATTCTACAAAAAGTGTGTTTCAACCCTGCTCTATCAAAAGAAAGTTTCAAGCCTGTGAGTTGAATCCCCACATCACAAAGCAGTTTCTGAGAATGCTTCTGCCTAGTTTTTAGGTGAAGATATATCCTTTTCCATCTTAGGCCTCAAATCTCTCCAAACATCCACTTGCAGATACTTCAAAAAGACTGTTTCAAAACTGCTCTCAAAAGGAAGGTTCAACTCTGTGAGTTGAATGCACACATCACAACGCAGTGTCTGAGAATGCTTCTGTCTAGTTTGTATGTGAAGATATTTCCTTTTCCATCTTAGGCCTCAAATCGATCCAAATATCCAATTGCAGGTACCAGAAAAAGACTGCTTCAAAACAGCTCTCACAAAAGGAAGGTTCAACTCTGTGAGTTGAATGCACACATCACAGAGCAGTTTCTGAGAATGCTTCTGTCTAGTTTGTATGTGAAGGATATCCCGTTTACAACAAATTCCTCAAAGAGCCCCCAATAGCAACAAGCAGATTCTACAAAAGCAGTGTTTCAAAACTGCTCTATCAAAAGGAACTTCCAACTCTGCGAATTGAACACACACATCACAAAGCAGTCTCTGAGAATGCTTCTGTCTGGTTTTTAGGTGAAGATATTCCTTTTTCCACCATAGGCAACAGAGCACTCCAAACGAACATATGAAGATTCTACAAATGTGTGTTCCAACACTGCTGTATCAAAAGAAAGGTTCAAGTCTGGGAGTCCAATGTACATATCACAAAGAACTTTCTGAGAATGCTTGGGTCTACTTTTTATGTGAAGATAGCCGTTTCCAAAGAATTCTTCAAAGAGTTCCAGATATCCACAGGCAGATTCTACAAAAGAAGTGTTTCAATACTGCTCTATCAAAAGACGTATTCAACTCAGTTACTTTAATGCACACATCTCAATGAAGTTCCTGAGAAAGCTTCTGTCTAGTTTTTATGTGAAAATATTTCCTTTTCCATCATGGGCCTCAAAGCGCTCAAAATGAACACTTGCAGATACTAGAGAAAGACTGTTTCAAAACTGCTCTATCCAAAGAAAGGTTCCACTCTGTGAGGTGAATGCACACATCACAAAGCAGTTTCTCAGAACGCTTCTGTCTAGTTTGTATGTGAACATATTTCCTTTTCCATCATAGGCCTCAAATCGCTCCAAATATCCACTTGCAGATACTACAAAAAGACTGTTTCAAAACTGCTTTCTCAAAAGAAAGTTTCAACTCTGTGAGTTGAATGCACACATCACAAAGCAGTTTCTGAGAATGCTTCTGTGTAACTTGTATGTGAAGATCTCCCGTATACGCCCAATTCCTAAAAGACCGCCAAATATCCGCAAGCAGATTCTACAAAAGCAGTGTTTCAAATCTGCTCTATCAAAAGAAAGGTTCAACTTTGTGAATTGGACACAAACATCTCAAAGGAGTTTCTGAGAAGGCTTCTTTCTAGTTTCTAGGTGAACATATTCCTTTTTCCACCACAGGCAACAAAGCTCTCCAAATGAACACTTGCAGATTCTATAAAAAGTGTGTTTCAACACTGCTCTATCAAAATAAAGTTTCAAGTCTGTAAGTTTAATGCACACATCACAAAGCAGTTTCTGAGAATGCTTCTGTCTAGTTTGTAGGTGAAGGTATTTCCTTTTCCATCTTAGACCTCAAATCACTAAAAATATCCACTTGCAGATACTACAAAAAGACTGTTTCAAAACCTCTCTCTCAAAAGGAAGGTGCAACTCTGTGAGTTGAATGCACACATCACAAAGCAGTTTCTGAGAATGCTACTTTCTAGTATTTATGTGAAGATATTGCTTTATCCACCATAGGCACAACAGCGTTCCAAATGAACACTTGCAGATCGTACAAAATGTGTGTTTCAACACTGCTCTTTCAAAACAAGGGTTCAAGTCTGTGAGTTGAATGCAGACATCACCAAGCAGCTTCTGAGAGTGCTTCTGTCTAGATTGTATGTGAAGATATTTCCTATTCCATCTTAGGCCTCAAATCACTACAAACATCCAATTGAAGATACTTCAAAAAGATTGTTTCAAAACGGCTCTCTCAAAAGGAAGGTTCAACTCTGTGAGTTCAATTCACACATCACAAAGAAGTTTCTGAGAATGCTTCTGACTAGTGTGTATGTGAAGATATCCCTTTTACAAAGAATTCCTCCAAGAGCTACAAATATCCACAAGCAGATTCTACAAAACAGGTGGTTCAAAACTGCTCAATCAAAAGAAAGAGTCAACCCTGTGAATTGAACACACACATCACAAAGCAGTTTCTGAGAATGCTTCTGTCTAGTTTGTAAGTGAACATATTTCCTTTTCCATCATAGGCCTCAAATCGCTCCAAGTATCCACTTGCAGATACTACAAAAAGACTGTTTCAGAACTGCTTTCTCCAAAGAAAGTTTCAACTCTGTTAGTTGAATGCACACATCACAGAGCAGTTTCTGAGAATGCTTCTGTGTAATTTGTATGTGAAGATATCCCGTATACGCCCAATTCCTCAAAGACCTCCTAATACACGCAAGCAGATTCTACAAAAGCAGTGTTTCAAATCTGCTCTACCAAAAGAAAGGTTCAACTTTGTGAATTAGACACAAACATCTCAAAGGAGTTTCTGAGAAGGCTTCTTTCTAGTTTGTATGTGAACACATTTCTTTTTCCACCACAGGCAACAAAGCTCTCCAAATGAAGACTTGCAGATTCTATAAAAAGTGTGTTTCAACACTGCTCTATCAAAATAAGGTTTCAAGTCTGTAAGTTTAATGCACACATCACAAAGCAGTTTCTGAGAATGCTTCTGTCTAGTTTGTAGGTGAAGGTATTTCCTTTTCCATCTTAGACCTCAAATCACCAAAAATATCCACCTGTACATACTACAAAAAGACTGTTTCAAAACGTCTCTCTCAAAAGGAAGGTTCAACTCTGTGAGTTGAATGCACACATCACACAGCAGTTTCTGAGCATGCTTCTGTCTAGTTTGTATGTGAAGATAGTTCCTTTTCCCTCATAGGCCTCAAATCGTTCCAAATATCGACTTGCAGATACTACAAAAAGACTGTTTGAAAACCGTTCTCTCAGAAGGAAGGTTCAACTCCGTGTGTTGAATGCACACATCACAAAGCAGTTTCTGAGAATGCTTCTGTCTAGCTTGTATGTGAAGATAGTTCCTTTTCCCTCATAGGTCCCAAATCGTTCCAAATATCGACTTGCAGATACCACAAAAAGACTGCTTCAAAACTGTTCTCAGAAGGAAGGTTCAACTCCGTGTGTTGAATGCACACATCAAAAAGCAGTTTCTGAGAATGCTTCTGTCTAGTTTGTATGTGAAGATATAACATTGACAGCGAATTCGTCAAAGAGCTTCAAATATCCAAAAGCAGATTCTAGAAAAGCAGTGTTTCAAAACTGCTCAATCAAAAGAAAGGTTCAACTCTGTGAACTGAACACATATATCACAAAGGAGTTTCGGAGAACGCTTCTTTGTAGTGCTTATGTGAAGATATTTCTTTTTCCACCATAGGCATCAAAGCGCTCCAAATGAACTCTTGCAGATTCTACAAATGTGTGTTTCAAACTGCTCCGTCTAAAGAAATGTTCAAGTCTCTGAGTTGAATGCACCCATCACAAAGCAGTTTCTGAGAATGCTTCTATCTAGTTTGTATGTGAAGATATTCCCGTTTCCATCTTAAGCCTCACATCGCTCCATATATCCACTTGAGGATACTACAAAAAACTGTTTCAAAACTGCTCTCTCAAAAGGAAGGTTCAACTCTGTGAGCTGAATGCACACATCACAAAGCAGTTAATGAGATTGCTTCTGTCTAGTTTGTATGTGAGGATATTTCCTTTTCAATCTTAGACTTCCCATCGCTCCAAATATCCACTTGCAGTTATTTCAAAGAGACTGTTTAAAAACTGCTCTCTCAGAAGGAAGGTTCACCTATGTGAGTTGAATGCACACACCACAAGGCAGTTTCTGAGAATGCTGCTGTCTAGTTTGTATGTGAAGATATCCCGTTTACAACGAATTCCTCAAAGAGCTCCAAATATCCACAAGCAGATTCTACAAAAGGAGTGTTTCAATTCTGCTCTATCAAAATAAAGGTTCAACACTTCTGAATAGAACAAACACATCACAAAGGAGTTTCTGAGAATGCTTCTGTCTAGTATTTATGTGAAGATATTTCTTTTTCCACCATAGGCAAAAAAGCGCTCCAAGTGAACACTTGCACATCCTAGAAAATGTATGTTTCAACACTGCTCTTTCAAGAGAAAGGTGCAAGTCTGTGAGTTGAATGCGCACATCACAAAGCAGTTTCTGAGAATGTTTCTGTCTACTTTGTATGTGAAGATATCCCGTTTACAACAAATTCCTCAAAGAGCTCCAGATATCCACAAGCAGATCCTATAAAAGCGGTGTTTCAAAGCTGCGCTATCAAAGGAATATTTCAATTCTGTGAATTTGACACACACTTCACAAAGGAGTTTCTGAGAATGTTTCTGTCTAGTTTTCATTTGAAGATATTTCTTTTTCCACCATAGGCAACAAAGCGCACTAAATGAACACTTGCAGATTCTACAAAAAGCGTGTTCCAACACTGATCTCTCAAAAGAAAGTTTGAAGTCTGTGAGTTTAAGGCACACATCTCAAGGAACTTTTTGAGAATCCTTGGGTCTCCTTTTTTTGTGAAGATACCAGCTGCCAACGAACTCCTGAAAGAGTTCCAAATATCCACAAGCAGATTCTACAAAAGGAGTGTTTCAATTCTGCTCTATCAAAAGGCAGATTCAACTCAGTTACTTGAATGCACACATCTCAGTGAAGTTCCTGAGCATGCCTCTGTCTAGTTTTTTTGTGAAGATATTTCCTTTTCCGCCAAAGGCTTAAAAGCGCTCCAAAATGAACACTCGCAGATCCTACAAAAAGACTGTTTCAGAACTGCTCTATCAAAAGGACGGTTCCACTCTGTGAGGTAAATGCACACATCACAAAGCAGATTCTGAGAAAGCTTCTGTCAAGTTTGGCCGTGAAGATATTTCCTTTTCAATCTTAGTCCTCCCATTGCTCCAAGTATCCACTTGTAGAGAATACAAAAAGATTGTTTCAAAACTGCTCTCTCAAAAGGAAGGTTCAACTCTGTGAGTAGAATGCACACATCACAAACCAGTTTCTGAGAATGCTTCTGACTAGTTTGAATGTGAAGATATCCCGTTTAAAACGAATTCCTCAAACAGCTCCAAATATCCACAAGAAGATTCTACAAAAGCAGTGTTTCAAAACTGCTTTATCTAAAGAAAGGTTCAACCCTGTGAATTGAACAACCACATCACAAAGTATTTTCTGAGAATGTTTCTGTCTAGTTTTTACGTGAAGATATTTCTTTTTCCACCATGGGCAAGAAAGCACTCCAAATGAACACTTGCAGATTCTACAAAAAGTGTGTTTGAACCCTGCTCTATCAAAAGAAAGTTTCAAGCCTGTGAGTTGAATCCCCACATCACAAAGCAGTTTCTGAGAATGCTTCTGCCTAGTTTTTAGGTGAAGATATATCCTTTTCCATCTTAGGCCTCAAATCTCTCCAAACATCCACTTGCAGATACTTCAAAAAGACTGTTTCAAAACTGCTCTCAAAAGGAAGGTTCAACTCTGTGAGTTGAATGCACACATCACAACGCAGTGTCTGAGAATGCTTCTGTCTAGTTTGTATGTGGAGATATTTCCTTTTCCATCTTAGGCCTCAAATCGATCCAAATATCCAATTGCAGATACCACAAAAAGACTGCTTCAAAACAGCTCTCGCAAAAGGAAGGTTCAACTCTGTGAGTTGAATGCACACATCACAGAGCAGTTTCTGAGAATGCTTCTGTCTACTTTGTATGTGAAGATATCCCGTTTACAACAAATTCCTCAAAGAGCCCCCAATAGCAACAAGCAGATTCTACAAAAGCAGTGTTTCAAAACTGCTCTATCAAAAGCAACTTTCAACTCTGCGAATTGAACACACACATCACAAAGCAGTCTCTGAGAATGCTTCTGTCTGGTTTTTAGGTGAAGATATTCCTTTTTCCACCATAGGCAACAGAGCACTCCAAACGAACACATGAAGATTCTACAAAAAGTGTGTTCCAACACTGCTCTATCAAAAGAAAGGTTCAAGTCTGGGAGTCCAATGTACATGTCACAAAGAACGTTCTGTGAATGCTTGGGTCTACTTTTTATGTGAAGATAGCCGTTTCCAAAGAATTCTTCAAAGAGTTCCAGATATCCACAGGCAGATTCTACAAAAGAAGTGTTTCAATACTGCTCTATCAAAAGACGTATTCAACTCAGTTACTTTAATGCACACATCTCAATGAAGTTCCTGAGAAAGCTTCTGTCTAGTTTTTATGTGAAAATATTTCCTTTTCCATCATGGGCCTCAAAGCGCTCAAAATGAACACTTGCAGATACTAGAGAAAGACTGTTTCAAAACTGCTCTATCCAAAGAAAGGTTCCACTCTGTGAGGTGAATGCACACATCACAAAGCAGTTTCTCAGAACGCTTCTGTCTAGTTTTTATATGAACGTATTTCCTTTTCCATCATAGGCCTCAAATCGCTCCAAATATCCACTTGCAGATACTACAAAAAGACTGTTTCAAAACTGCTTTCTCAAAAGAAAGTTTCAACTCTGTGAGTTGAATGCACACATCACAAAGCAGTTTCTGAGAATGCTTCTGTGTAACTTGTATGTGAAGATCTCCCGTATACGCCCAATTCCTAAAAGACCGCCAAATATCCGCAAGCAGATTCTACAAAAGCAGTGTTTCAAATCTGCTCTATCAAAAGAAAGGTTCAACTTTGTGAATTGGACACAAACATCTCAAAGGAGTTTCTGAGAAGGCTTCTTTCTAGTTTCTAGGTGAACATATTCCTTTTTCCACCACAGGCAACAAAGCTCTCCAAATGAACACTTGCAGATTCTATAAAAAGTGTGTTTCAACACTGCTCTATCAAAATAAAGTTTCAAGTCTGTAAGTTTAATGCACACATCACAAAGCAGTTTCTGAGAATGCTTCTGTCTAGTTTGTAGGTGAAGGTATTTCCTTTTCCATCTTACACCTCAAATCACTAAAAATATCCACTTGCAGATACTACAAAAAGACTGTTTCAAAATCTCTCTCTCAAAAGGAAGGTTCAACTCTGTGAGTTGAATGCACACATCACAAAGCAGTTTCTGAGAATGCTTCTGTCTAGTATTTATGTGAAGATATTGCTTTTTCCACCATAGGCACAAAAGCTCTCCAAATGAACACTTGCAGATCCTACAAAATGTGTGTTTCAACACTGCTCTTTCAAAACAAGGGTTAAAGTCTGTGAGTTGAATGCAGACATCACCAAGCAGCTTCTGAGAGTGCTTCTGTCTAGATTGTATGTGAAGATATTTCCTTTTCCATCTTAGGCCTCAAATCACTACAAGTATCCAATTGAAGATACTTCAAAAAGATTGTTTCAAAACGGCTCTCTCAGAAGGAAGGATCAACTCTGTGAGTTCAATTCACAATCACAAAGAAGTTTCTGAGAATGCTTCTGACTTGTGTGTATGTGAAGATATCCCTTTTACAATGAATTCTTCCAAGAGCTACAAATATCCACAAGCAGATTCTACAAAACAGGTTGTTCAAAACTGCTCAATCAAAAGAAAGAGTCAACCCTGTGAATTGAACACACACATCACAAAGCAGTTTCTGAGCATGCTTCTGTCTAGTTTGTATGTGAAGATAGTTCCTTTTCCCTCATAGGCCTCATAGCGTTCCAAATAGCGACTTGCAGATACTACAAAAAGACTGTTTGAAAACTGTTCTCTCAGAAGGAAGGTTCAACTCCGTGTGTTGAATGCACACATCACAAAGCAGTTTCTGAGAATGCTTCTGGCTAGTTTGTATATGAAGATATCCCATTGACAATGAATTCCTCAAAGAGCTCCAAATATCCACAAGCAGATTCTAGAAAAGCAGTTTTTCAAAACTGCTCAATGAAAAGAAAGGTTCAACTCTGTGAATTGAACACACATATCACAAAGGAGTTTCGGAGAACGCTTCTTTGTAGTGCTTATGTGAAGATATTTCTTTTTCCACCATAGGCATCAAAGCGCTCCAAATGAACTCTTGCAGATTCTACAAATGTGTGTTTCAAACTGCTCCGTCTAAAGAAATGTTCAAGTCTCTGAGTTGAATGCACCCATCACAAAGCAGTTTCTGAGAATGCTTCTATCTAGTTTGTATGTGAAGATATTCCCGTTTCCATCTTAAGCCTCACATCGCTCCATATATCCACTTGAGGATACTACAAAAAACTGTTTCAAAACTGCTCTCTCAAAAGGAAGGTTCAACTCTGTGAGCTGAATGCACACATCACAAAGCAGTTAATGAGATTGCTTCTGTCTAGTTTGTATGTGAGGATATTTCCTTTTCAATCTTAGACTTCCCATCGCTCCAAATATCCACTTGCAGTTATTTCAAAGAGACTGTTTAAAAACTGCTCTCTCAGAAGGAAGGTTCACCTATGTGAGTTGAATGCACACACCACAAGGCAGTTTCTGAGAATGCTTCTGTCTAGTTTGTATGTGAAGATATCCCTTTTACAACGAATTCCTCAAAGAGCTCCAAATATCCACAAGCAGATTCTACAAAAGGAGTGTTTCAATTCTGCTCTATCAAAAGAAAGGTTCAACTCTCTGAATAGAACAAACACATCACAAAGGAGTTTCTGAGAATGCTTCTGTCTAGTATTTATGTGAAGATATTTCTTTTTCCACCATAGGCAAAAAAGTGCTCCAAGTGAACACTTGCACAGGCTACAAAATGTGTGTTTGAACACTGCTCTTTCAAAAGAAAGGTTGAAGTCTGTGATTGGAATGCACACATCACAAAGCAGTTTCTGAGAATGCTTCTGTCTACTTTGTATGTGAAGATATCCCGTTTACAACAAATTCCTCAAAGAGCTCCAGATATCCACAAGCAGATCCTATAAAAGCGGTGTTTCAAAGCTGCGCTATCAAAGGAATATTTCAATTCTGTGAATTTGACACACACTTCACAAAGGAGTTTCTGAGAATGTTTCTGTCTAGTTTTCATTTGAAGATATTTCTTTTTCCACCATAGGCAACAAAGCGCACTAAATGAACACTTGCAGATTCTACAAAAAGCGTGTTCCAACACTGATCTCTCAAAAGAAAGTTTGAAGTCTGTGAGTTTAAGGCACACATCTCAAGGAACTTTTTGAGAATCCTTGGGTCTCCTTTTTTTGTGAAGATACCAGCTGCCAACGAACTCCTGAAAGAGTTCCAAATATCCACAAGCAGATTCTACAAAAGGAGTGTTTCAATTCTGCTCTATCAAAAGGCAGATTCAACTCAGTTACTTGAATGCACACATCTCAGTGAAGTTCCTGAGCATGCCTCTGTCTAGTTTTTTTGTGAAGATATTTCCTTTTCCGCCAAAGGCTTAAAAGCGCTCCAAAATGAACACTCGCAGATCCTACAAAAAGACTGTTTCAGAACTGCTCTATCAAAAGGACGGTTCCACTCTGTGAGGTAAATGCACACATCACAAAGCAGATTCTGAGAAAGCTTCTGTCAAGTTTGGCCGTGAAGATATTTCCTTTTCAATCTTAGTCCTCCCATTGCTCCAAGTATCCACTTGTAGAGAATACAAAAAGATTGTTTCAAAACTGCTCTCTCAAAAGGAAGGTTCAACTCTGTGAGTAGAATGCACACATCACAAACCAGTTTCTGAGAATGCTTCTGACTAGTTTGAATGTGAAGATATCCCGTTTAAAACGAATTCCTCAAACAGCTCCAAATATCCACAAGAAGATTCTACAAAAGCAGTGTTTCAAAACTGCTTTATCTAAAGAAAGGTTCAACCCTGTGAATTGAACAACCACATCACAAAGTATTTTCTGAGAATGTTTCTGTCTAGTTTTCAGGTGAAGATATTTCTTTTTCCACCATGGGCAAGAAAGCACTCCAAATGAACACTTGCAGATTCTACAAAAAGTGTGTTTGAACCCTGCTGTATCAAAAGAAAGTTTCAAGCCTGTGAGTTGAATCCCCACATCACAAAGCAGTTTCTGAGAATGCTTCTGCCTAGTTTTTAGGTGAAGATATATCCTTTTCCATCTTAGGCCTCAAATCTCTCCAAACATCCACTTGCAGATACTTCAAAAAGACTGTTTCAAAACTGCTCTCAAAAGGAAGGTTCAACTCTGTGAGTTGAATGCACACATCACAACGCAGTGTCTGAGAATGCTTCTGTCTAGTTTGTATGTGAAGATATTTCCTTTTCCATCTTAGGCCTCAAATCGATCCAAATATCCAATTGCAGATACCACAAAAAGACTGCTTCAAAACAGCTCTCGCAAAAGGAAGGTTCAACTCTGTGAGTTGAATGCACACATCACAGAGCAGTTTCTGAGAATGCTTCTGTCTAGTTTGTATGTGAAGATATCCCGTTTACAACAAATTCCTCAAAGAGCCCCCAATAGCAACAAGCAGATTCTACAAAAGCAGTGTTTCAAAACTGCTCTATCAAAAGCAACTTTCAACTCTGCGAATTGAACACACACATCACAAAGCAGTCTCTGAGAATGCTTCTGTCTGGTTTTTAGGTGAAGATATTCCTTTTTCCAGCAGAGGCAACAGAGCACTCCAAACGAACACATGAAGATTCTACAAAAAGTGTGTTCCAACACTGCTCTATCAAAAGAAAGGTTCAAGTCTGGGAGTCCAATGTACATATCACAAAGAACTTTCTGAGAATGCTTGGGTCTACTTTTTATGTGAAGATAGCCGTTTCCAAAGAATTCTTCAAAGAGTTCCAGATATCCACAGGCAGATTCTACAAAAGAAGTGTTTCAATACTGCTCTATCAAAAGACGTATTCAACTCAGTTACTTTAATGCACACATCTCAATGAAGTTCCTGAGAAAGCTTCTGTCTAGTTTTTATGTGAAAATATTTCCTTTTCCATCATGGGCCTCAAAGCGCTCAAAATGAACACTTGCAGATACTAGAGAAAGACTGTTTCAAAACTGCTCTATCCAAAGAAAGGTTCCACTCTGTGAGGTGAATGCACACATCACAAAGCAGTTTCTCAGAACGCTTCTGTCTAGTTTGTATGTGAACATATTTCCTTTTCCATCATAGGCCTCAAATCGCTCCAAATATCCACTTGCAGATACTACAAAAAGACTGTTTCAAAACTGCTTTCTCAAAAGAAAGTTTCAACTCTGTGAGTTGAATGCACACATCACAAAGCAGTTTCTGAGAATGCTTCTGTGTAACTTGTATGTGAAGATCTCCCGTATACGCCCAATTCCTAAAAGACCGCCAAATATCCGCAAGCAGATTCTACAAAAGCAGTGTTTCAAATCTGCTCTATCAAAAGAAAGGTTCAACTTTGTGAATTGGACACAAACATCTCAAAGGAGTTTCTGAGAAGGCTTCTTTCTAGTTTCTAGGTGAACATATTCCTTTTTCCACCACAGGCAACAAAGCTCTCCAAATGAACACTTGCAGATTCTATAAAAAGTGTGTTTCAACACTGCTCTATCAAAATAAAGTTTCAAGTCTGTAAGTTTAATGCACACATCACAAAGCAGTTTCTGAGAATGCTTCTGTCTAGTTTGTAGGTGAAGGTATTTCCTTTTCCATCTTAGACCTCAAATCACTAAAAATATCCACTTGCAGATACTACAAAAAGACTGTTTCAAAACCTCTCTCTCAAAAGGAAGGTGCAACTCTGTGAGTTGAATGCACACATCACAAAGCAGTTTCTGAGAATGCTACTTTCTAGTATTTATGTGAAGATATTTCTTTATCCACCATAGGCACAACAGCGTTCCAAATGAACACTTGCAGATCGTACAAAATGTGTGTTTCAACACTGCTCTTTCAAAACAAGGGTTCAAGTCTGTGAGTTGAATGCAGACATCACCAAGCAGCTTCTGAGAGTGCTTCTGTCTAGATTGTATGTGAAGATATTTCCTATTCCATCTTAGGCCTCAAATCACTACAAACATCCAATTGAAGATACTTCAAAAAGATTGTTTCAAAACGGCTCTCTCAAAAGGAAGGTTCAACTCTGTGAGTTCAATTCACACATCACAAAGAAGTTTCTGAGAATGCTTCTGACTAGTGTGTATGTGAAGATATCCCTTTTAAAAAGAATTCCTCCAAGAGCTACAAATATCCACAAGCAGATTCTACAAAACAGGTGGTTCAAAACTGCTCAATCAAAAGAAAGAGTCAACCCTGTGAATTGAACACACACATCACAAAGCAGTTTCTGAGAATGCTTCTGTCTAGTTTGTAAGTGAACATATTTCCTTTTCCATCATAGGCCTCAAATCGCTCCAAGTATCCACTTGCAGATACTACAAAAAGACTGTTTCAGAACTGCTTTCTCCAAAGAAAGTTTCAACTCTGTTAGTTGAATGCACACATCACAGAGCAGTTTCTGAGAATGCTTCTGTGTAATTTGTATGTGAAGATATCCCGTATACGCCCAATTCCTCAAAGACCTCCAAATACATGCAAGCAGATTCTACAAAAGCAGTGTTTCAAATCTGCTCTATCAAAAGAAAGGTTCAACTTTGTGAATTGGACACAAACATCTCAAAGGAGTTTCTGAGAAGGCTTCTTTCTAGTTTGTATGTGAACACATTTCTTTTTCCACCACAGGCAACAAAGCTCTCCAAATGAACACTTGCAGATTCTATAAAAAGTGTGTTTCAACACTGCTCTATCAAAATAAGGTTTCAAGTCTGTAAGTTTAATGCACACATCACAAAGCAGTTTCTGAGAATGCTTCTGTCTAGTTTGTAGGTGAAGGTATTTCCTTTTCCATCTTAGACCTCAAATCACCAAAAATATCCACCTGTACATACTACAAAAAGACTGTTTCAAAACGTCTCTCTCAAAAGGAAGGTTCAACTCTGTGAGTTGAATGCACACATCACACAGCAGTTTCTGAGCATGCTTCTGTCTAGTTTGTATGTGAAGATAGTTCCTTTTCCCTCATAGGCCTCATAGCGTTCCAAATAGCGACTTGCAGATACTACAAAAAGACTGTTTGAAAACTGTTCTCTCAGAAGGAAGGTTCAACTCCGTGTGTTGAATGCACACATCACAAAGCAGTTTCTGAGAATGCTTCTGTCTAGTTTGTATGTGAAGATAGTTCCTTTTCCCTCATAGGCCTCAAATCGTTCCAAATATCGACTTGCAGATACCACAAAAAGACTGCTTCAAAACTGTTCTCAGAAGGAAGGTTCAACTCCGTGTGTTGAATGCACACATCAAAAAGCAGTTTCTGAGAATGCTTCTGTCTAGTTTGTATGTGAAGATATAACATTGACAGCGAATTCGTCAAAGAGCTTCAAATATCCAAAAGCAGATTCTAGAAAAGCAGTGTTTCAAAACTGCTCAATCAAAAGAAAGGTTCAACTCTGTGAACTGAACACATATATCACAAAGGAGTTTCGGAGAACGCTTCTTTCTAGTCTTTATGTGAAGATATTTCTTTTTCCACCATAGGCATCAAAGCGCTCCAAATGAACTCTTGCAGATTCTGCATATGTGTGTTTCAACACTGCTCCGTCTAAAGAAATGTTCAAGTCTCTGAGTTGAATGCACCCATCACAAAGCAGTTTCTGAGAATGCTTCTTTCTAGTTTGCATGTGAAGATATTCCCGTTTCCATCTTAAGCCTCACATCGCTCCATATATCCACTTGAGGATACTACAAAAAACTGTTTCAAAACTGCTCTCTCAAAAGGAAGGTTCAACTCTGTGAGCTGAATGCACACATCGCAAAGCAGTTAATGAGATTGCTTCTGTCTAGTTTGTATGTGAGGATATTTCCTTTTCAAACTTAGACTTCCCATCGCTCCAAATATCCACTTGCAGATATTTCAAAGAGACTGTTTAAAAACTGCTCTCTCAGAAGGAAGGTTCAACTCTGTGAGTTGAATGCACACACCACAAAGCAGTTTCTGAGAATGCTTCTGTCTAGTTTGTATGTGAAGATATCCCGTTTACAACGAATTCCTCAAAGAGCTCCAAATATCCACAAGCAGATTCTACAGAAGCAGTGTATCAAAACTGCTCTATCAAAAGAAAGGTTCAACTCTCTGAATAGAACAAACACATCACTAAGGCGTTTCTGAGAATGCTTCTGTCTAGTATTTATGTGAAGATATTTCTTTTTCCACCATAGGCAAAAAAGCGCTCCAAGTGAACACTTGCACATCCTACAAAATGTGTGTTTGAACACTGCTCTTTCAAAAGAAAGGTTGAAGTCTGTGATTGGAATGCACACATCACAAAGCAGTTTCTGAGAATGCTTCTGTCTACTTTGTATGTGAAAGATATCCCGTTTACAACAAATTCCTCAAAGAGCTCCAGATATCCACAAGCAGATCCTATAAAAGCGGTGTTTCAAAGCTGCGCTATCAAAGGAATATTTCAATTCTGTGAATTTGACACACACTTCACAAAGGAGTTTCTGAGAATGTTTCTGTCTAGTTTTCATTTGAAGATATTTCTTTTTCCACCATAGGCAACAAAGCGCACTAAATGAACACTTGCAGATTCTACAAAAAGCGTGTTCCAACACTGATCTCTCAAAAGAAAGTTTGAAGTCTGTGAGTTTAAGGCACACATCTCAAGGAACTTTTTGAGAATCCTTGGGTCTCCTTTTTTTGTGAAGATACCAGCTGCCAACGAACTCCTGAAAGAGTTCCAAATATCCACAAGCAGATTCTACAAAAGGAGTGTTTCAATTCTGCTCTATCAAAAGGCAGATTCAACTCAGTTACTTGAATGCACACATCTCAGTGAAGTTCCTGAGCATGCCTCTGTCTAGTTTTTTTGTGAAGATATTTCCTTTTCCGCCAAAGGCTTAAAAGCGCTCCAAAATGAACACTCGCAGATCCTACAAAAAGACTGTTTCAGAACTGCTCTATCAAAAGGACGGTTCCACTCTGTGAGGTAAATGCACACATCACAAAGCAGATTCTGAGAAAGCTTCTGTCAAGTTTGGCCGTGAAGATATTTCCTTTTCAATCTTAGTCCTCCCATTGCTCCAAGTATCCACTTGTAGAGAATACAAAAAGATTGTTTCAAAACTGCTCTCTCAAAAGGAAGGTTCAACTCTGTGAGTAGAATGCACACATCACAAACCAGTTTCTGAGAATGCTTCTGACTAGTTTGAATGTGAAGATATCCCGTTTAAAACGAATTCCTCAAACAGCTCCAAATATCCACAAGAAGATTCTACAAAAGCAGTGTTTCAAAACTGCTTTATCTAAAGAAAGGTTCAACCCTGTGAATTGAACAACCACATCACAAAGTATTTTCTGAGAATGTTTCTGTCTAGTTTTTACGTGAAGATATTTCTTTTTCCACCATGGGCAAGAAAGCACTCCAAATGAACACTTGCAGATTCTACAAAAAGTGTGTTTCAACCCTGCTCTATCAAAAGAAAGTTTCAAGCCTGTGAGTTGAATCCCCACATCACAAAGCAGTTTCTGAGAATGCTTCTGCCTAGTTTTTAGGTGAAGATATATCCTTTTCCATCTTAGGCCTCAAATCTCTCCAAACATCCACTTGCAGATACTTCAAAAAGACTGTTTCAAAACTGCTCTCAAAAGGAAGGTTCAACTCTGTGAGTTGAATGCACACATCACAACGCAGTGTCTGAGAATGCTTCTGTCTAGTTTGTATGTGGAGATATTTCCTTTTCCATCTTAGGCCTCAAATCGATCCAAATATCCAATTGCAGATACCACAAAAAGACTGCTTCAAAACAGCTCTCGCAAAAGGAAGGTTCAACTCTGTGAGTTGAATGCACACATCACAGAGCAGTTTCTGAGAATGCTTCTGTCTACTTTGTATGTGAAGATATCCCGTTTACAACAAATTCCTCAAAGAGCCCCCAATAGCAACAAGCAGATTCTACAAAAGCAGTGTTTCAAAACTGCTCTATCAAAATCAACTTTCAACTCTGCGAATTGAACACACACATCACAAAGCAGTCTCTGAGAATGCTTCTGTCTGGTTTTTAGGTGAAGATATTTCTTTTTCCACCATAGGCAACAAAGCACTCCAAACGAATACATGAAGATTCTACAAAAAGTGTGTTCCAACACTGCTCTATCAAAAGAAAGGTTCAAGTCTGGGAGTCCAATGTCCATATGACAAAGAACTGTCTGAGAATGTTTGGGTCTACTTTTTATGTGAAGATAGCCGTTTCCAAAGAATTCTTCAAAGAGTTCCAGATATCCACAGGCAGATTCTACAAAAGAAGTGTTTCCATACTGCTCTATCAAAAGACGTATTCAACTCAGTTACTTTAATGCACACATCTCAATGAAGTTCCTGAGAAAGTTTCTGTCTACTTTTTATGTGAAAATATTTCCTTTTCCATCATGGGCCTCAAAGCGCTCAAAATGAACACTTGCACATACTAGAAAAAGACTGTTTTAAAACTGCTCTATCCAAAGAATGGTTCCACTCTGTGAGGTGAATGCACACATCACAAAGCAGTTTCTGAGAACGCTTCTGTCTAGTTTGTAGGTGAAGATATTTCCTTTTCCTTCATAGGCCTCTAATCGCTCCAAATATCCACAAGCAGATTCTTCCAAATGTGTGTTTCAACACTGCTCTATCAAAAGAAAGGTTCAAGTCTGTGAGTTGAATGCACACATCACAAAGCAGTTCCTGAGAACGCTTCTGTCTAGTTTGTATGTGAAGATATCCCGTTTACAACGAATTCCTCAAAGAGCTCCAAATATCCACAAGCAGATTCTACAAAAGCCGTGTATCAAAACTGCTCCATGAAAAGAAAGGTTCAACTCTCTGAATAGAACAAACACATCAGAAAGCAGTTTCTGAGAATGCTTCTGTCTAGTATTTATGTGAAGATATTTCTTTTTCCACCATAGGCAAAAAAGAGCTCCAAGTGAACACTTGCACATGCTACAAAATGTGTGTTTCAACACTGCTCTTTCAAAAGAAAGGTTGAAGTCTGTGATTGGAATGCACACATCACAAAGCAGTTTCTGAGAATGCTTCTGTCTACTTTGTATGTGAAGATATCCCGTTTACAACAAATTCCTCAAAGAGCCCCCAATAGCAACAAGCAGATTCTACAAAAGCAGTGTTTCAAAACTGCTCTATCAAAAGGAACTTTTAACTCTGCGAATTGAACACACACATCACAAAGCAGTCTCGGAGAATGCTTCTGTCTGGTTTTTAGGTGAAGATATTCCTTTTTCCACCATAGGCAACAAAGCACTCCAAACGAACACATGAAGATTCTACAAAAAGTGTGTTCCAACACTGCTCTATCAAAAGAAATGTTCAAGTCTGGGAGTCCAATGTACATATCACAAAGAACTTTCTGAGAATGCTTGGGTCTACTTTTTATGTGAAGATAGCCGTTTCCAAAGAATTCTTCAAAGAGTTCCAGATATCCACAGGCAGATTCTACAAATAAGTGTTTCAATACTGCTCTATCAAAAGACGTATTCAACTCAGTTACTTTAATGCACACATCTCAATGAAGTTCCTGAGAAAGCTTCTGTCTAGTTTTTATGTGAAAATATTTCCTTTTCCATCATGGGCCTCAAAGCGCTCAAAATGAACACTTGCAGATACTAGAGAAAGACTGTTTCAAAACTGCTCTATCCAAAGAAAGGTTCCACTCTGTGAGGTGAATGCACACATCACAAAGCAGTTTCTCAGAACGCTTCTGTCTAGTTTGTATGTGAACATATTTCCTTTTCCATCATAGGCCTCAAATCGCTCCAAATATCCACTTGCAGATACTACAAAAAGACTGTTTCAAAACTGCTTTCTCAAAAGAAAATTTCAACTCTGTGAGTTGAATGCACACATCACAAAGCAGTTTCTGAGAATGCTTCTGTGTAACTTGTATGTGAAGATCTCCCGTATACGCCCAATTCCTAAAAGACCGCCAAATATCCGCAAGCAGATTCTACAAAAGCAGTGTTTCAAATCTGCTCTATCAAAAGAAAGGTTCAACTTTGTGAATTGGACACAAACATCTCAAAGGAGTTTCTGAGAAGGCTTCTTTCTAGTTTCTAGGTGAACATATTCCTTTTTCCACCACAGGCAACAAAGCTCTCCAAATGAACACTTGCAGATTCTATAAAAAGTGTGTTTCAACACTGCTCTATCAAAATAAAGTTTCAAGTCTGTAAGTTTAATGCACACATCACAAAGCAGTTTCTGAGAATGCTTCTGTCTAGTTTGTAGGTGAAGGTATTTCCTTTTCCATCTTAGACCTCAAATCACTAAAAATATCCACTTGCAGATACTACAAAAAGACTGTTTCAAAACCTCTCTCTCAAAAGGAAGGTGCAACTCTGTGAGTTGAATGCACACATCACAAAGCAGTTTCTGAGAATGCTACTTTCTAGTATTTATGTGAAGATATTTCTTTATCCACCATAGGCACAACAGCGTTCCAAATGAACAATTGCAGATCGTACAAAATGTGTGTTTCAACACTGCTCTTTCAAAACAAGGGTTCAAGTCTGTGAGTTGAATGCAGACATCACCAAGCAGCTTCTGAGAGTGCTTCTGTCTAGATTGTATGTGAAGATATTTCCTATTCCATCTTAGGCCTCAAATCACTACAAACATCCAATTGAAGATACTTCAAAAAGATTGTTTCAAAACGGCTCTCTCAAAAGGAAGGTTCAACTCTGTGAGTTCAATTCACACATCACAAAGAAGTTTCTGAGAATGCTTCTGACTAGTGTGTATGTGAAGATATCCCTTTTACAAAGAATTCCTCCAAGAGCTACAAATATCCACAAGCAGATTCTACAAAACAGGTGGTTCAAAACTGCTCAATCAAAAGAAAGAGTCAACCCTGTGAATTGAACACACACATCACAAAGCAGTTTCTGAGAATGCTTCTGTCTAGTTTGTAAGTGAACATATTTCCTTTTCCATCATAGGCCTCAAATCGCTCCAAGTATCCACTTGCAGATACTACAAAAAGACTGTTTCAGAACTGCTTTCTCCAAAGAAAGTTTCAACTCTGTTAGTTGAATGCACACATCACAGAGCAGTTTCTGAGAATGCTTCTGTGTAATTTGTATGTGAAGATATCCCGTATACGCCCAATTCCTCAAAGACCTCCAAATACACGCAAGCAGATTCTACAAAAGCAGTGTTTCAAATCTGCTCTATCAAAAGAAAGGTTCAACTTTGTGAATTGGACACAAACATCTCAAAGGAGTTTCTGAGAAGGCTTCTTTCTAGTTTGTATGTGAACACATTTCTTTTTCCACCACAGGCAACAAAGCTCTCCAAATGAACACTTGCAGATTCTATAAAAAGTGTGTTTCAACACTGCTCTATCAAAATAAAGTTTCAAGTCTGTAAGTTTAATGCACACATCACAAAGCAGTTTCTGAGAATGCTTCTGTCTAGTTTGTAGGTGAAGGTATTTCCTTTTCCATCTTAGACCTCAAATCACTAAAAATATCCACTTGTATATACTACAAAAAGACTGTTTCAAAACCTCTCTCTCAAAAGGAAGGCTCAACTCTGTGAGTTGAATGCACACATCACAAAGCAGTTTCTGAGTATGCTTCTGTCTAGCTTGTATGTGAAGATAGTTCCTTTTCCCTCATAGGTCCCAAATCGTTCCAAATATCGACTTGCAGATACCACAAAAAGACTGCTTCAAAACTGTTCTCAGAAGGAAGGTTCAACTCCGTGTGTTGAATGCACACATCAAAAAGCAGTTTCTGAGAATGCTTCTGTCTAGTTTGTATGTGAAGATATAACATTGACAGTGAATTCGTCAAAGAGCTTCAAATATCCAAAAGCAGATTCTAGAAAAGCAGTGTTTCAAAACTGCTCAATCAAAAGAAAGGTTCAACTCCTGTGAACTGAACACATATATCACAAAGGAGTTTCGGAGAACGCTTCCTTTCTAGTCTTTATGTGAAGATATTTCTTTTTCCACCATAGGCATCAAAGCGCTCCAAATGAACTCTTGCAGATTCTGCATATGTGTGTTTCAACACTGCTCCGTCTAAAGAAATGTTCAAGTCTCTGAGTTGAATGCACCCATCACAAAGCAGTTTCTGAGAATGCTTCTTTCTAGTTTGCATGTGAAGATATTCCCGTTTCCATCTTAAGCCTCACATCGCTCCATATATCCACTTGAGGATACTACAAAAAACTGTTTCAAAACTGCTCTCTCAAAAGGAAGGTTCAACTCTGTGAGCTGAATGCACACATCGCAAAGCAGTTAATGAGATTGCTTCTGTCTAGTTTGTATGTGAGGATATTTCCTTTTCAATCTTAGACTTCCCATCGCTCCAAATATCCACTTGCAGATATTTCAAAGAGACTGTTTAAAAACTGCTATCTCAGAAGGAAGGTTCACCTCTGTGAGTTGAATGCACACACCACAAAGCAGTTTCTGAGAATGGCTTCTGTCTAGTTTGTATGTGAAGATATCCCTTTTACAACGAATTCCTCAAAGAGCTCCAAATATCCACAAGCAGATTCTACAAAAGGAGTGTTTCAATTCTGCTCTATCAAAAGAAAGGTTCAACTCTCTGAATAGAACAAACACATCACAAAGGAGTTTCTGAGAATGCTTCTGTCTAGTATTTATGTGAAGATATTTCTTTTTCCACCATAGGCAAAAAAGTGCTCCAAGTGAACACTTGCACAGGCTACAAAATGTGTGTTTGAACACTGCTCTTTCAAAAGAAA
Source organism: Homo sapiens (assembly GCF_000001405.40). NCBI lineage: Eukaryota > Metazoa > Chordata > Mammalia > Primates > Hominidae > Homo > Homo sapiens. The sequence goes on along the minus strand of NC_000005.10, from coordinate 46,992,213 downwards.
GGTTGAAGTCTGTGATTGGAATGCACACATCACAAAGCAGTTTCTGAGAATGCTTCTGTCTAGTTTGTATGTGAAGATATCCCGTTTACAACAAATTCCTCAAAGAGCTCCAGATATCCACAAGCAGATCCTATAAAAGCGGTGTTTCAAAGCTGCGCTATCAAAGGAATATTTCAATTCTGTGAATTTGACACACACTTCACAAAGGAGTTTCTGAGAATGTTTCTGTCTAGTTTTCATTTGAAGATATTTCTTTTTCCACCATAGGCAACAAAGCGCACTAAATGAACACTTGCAGATTCTACAAAAAGCGTGTTCCAACACTGATCTCTCAAAAGAAAGTTTGAAGTCTGTGAGTTTAAGGCACACATCTCAAGGAACTTTTTGAGAATCCTTGGGTCTCCTTTTTTTGGGAAGATACCAACTACCAACGAATTCCTGAAAGAGTTCCAAATATCCACAAGTAGATTCTACAAAAGGATTGTTTCAATTCTGCTCTATCAAAAGGCAGATTCAACTCAGTTACTTGAATGCACACATCTCAATGAAGTTCCTGAGCATGCCTCTGTCTAGTTTTCTGTGAAGATATTTCCTTTTCCGCCAAAGGCTTAAAAGCGCTCCAAAATGAACACTCGCAGATCCTACAAAAAGACTGTTTCAGAACTGCTCTATCAAAAGGACGGTTCCACTCTGTGAGGTGAATGCACACATCACAAAGCAGATTCTGAGAAAGCTTCTGTCAAGTTTGGCTGTGAAGATATTTCCTTTTCCATCTTAGTCCTCCCATTGTTCCAAATATCCACTTGCAGATAGTACAAAAAGATTGTTTCAAAACTGTTCTCTCAAAAGGAAGGTTCAACTCTGTGAGTAGAATGCACACATCACAAACCAGTTTCTGAGGATGCTTCTGACTAGTTTGAATGTGAAGATATCCCGTTTAAAACGAATTCCTCAAACAGCTCCAAATATCCACAAGAAGATTCTACAAAAGCAGTGTTTCAAAACTGCTTTATCTAAAGAAAGGTTCAACCCTGTGAATTGAACAACTACATCACAAAGTATTTTCTGAGAAAGTTTCTGTCTAGTTTTCAGGTGAAGATATTTCTTTTTCCACCATGGGCAAGAAAGCACTCCAAATGAACACTTGCAGATTCTACAAAAAGTGTGTTTGAACCCTGCTGTATCAAAAGAAAGTTTCAAGCCTGTGAGTTGAATCCCCACATCACAAAGCAGTTTCTGAGAATGCTTCTGCCTAGTTTTTAGGTGAAGATATATCCTTTTCCATCTTAGGCCTCAAATCTCTCCAAACATCCACTTGCAGATACTTCAAAAAGACTGTTTCAAAACTGCTCTCAAAAGGAAGGTTCAACTCTGTGAGTTGAATGCACACATCACAACGCAGTGTCTGAGAATGCTTCTGTCTAGTTTGTATGTGAAGATATTTCCTTTTCCATCTTAGGCCTCAAATCGATCCAAATATCCAATTGCAGATACCACAAAAAGACTGCTTCAAAACAGCTCTCGCAAAAGGAAAGTTCAACTCTGTGAGTTGAATGCACACATCACAGAGCAGTTTCTGAGAATGCTTCTGTCTACTTTTTATGTGAAGATATCCCGTTTACAACAAATTCCTCAAAGAGCCCCCAGTAGCAACAAGCAGATTCTACAAAAGCAGTGTTTCAAAACTGCTCTATCCAAAGCAACTTTCAACTCTGCGAATTGAACACACACATCACAAAGCAGTCTCTGAGAATGCTTCTGTCTGGTTTTTAGGTGAAGATATTCCTTTTTCCACCATAGGCAACAGAGCACTCCAAACGAACACATGAAGATTCTACAAAAAGTGTGTTCCAACACTGCTCTATCAAAAGAAAGTTTCAAGTCTGGGAGTCCAATGTACATGTCACAAAGAACGTTCTGTGAATGCTTGGGTCTACTTTTTATGTGAAGATAGCCGTTTCCAAAGAATTCTTCAAAGAGTTCCAGATATCCACAGGCAGATTCTACAAAAGAAGTGTTTCAATACTGCTCTATCAAAAGACGTATTCAACTCAGTTACTTTAATGCACACATCTCAATGAAGTTCCTGAGAAAGCTTCTGTCTAGTTTTTATGTGAAAATATTTCCTTTTCCATCATGGGCCTCAAAGCGCTCAAAATGAACACTTGCAGATACTAGAGAAAGACTGTTTCAAAACTGCTCTATCCAAAGAAAGGTTCCACTCTGTGAGGTGAATGCACACATCACAAAGCAGTTTCTCAGAACGCTTCTGTCTAGTTTGTATGTGAACGTATTTCCTTTTCCATCATAGGCCTCAAATCGCTCCAAATATCCACTTGCAGATACTACAAAAAGACTGTTTCAAAACTGCTTTCTCAAAAGAAAGTTTCAACTCTGTGAGTTGAATGCACACATCACAAAGCAGTTTCTGAGAATGCTTCTGTGTAACTTGTATGTGAAGATCTCCCGTATACGCCCAATTCCTAAAAGACCGCCAAATATCCGCAAGCAGATTCTACAAAAGCAGTGTTTCAAATCTGCTCTATCAAAAGAAAGGTTCAACTTTGTGAATTGGACACAAACATCTCAAAGGAGTTTCTGAGAAGGCTTCTTTCTAGTTTCTAGGTGAACATATTCCTTTTTCCACCACAGGCAACAAAGCTCTCCAAATGAACACTTGCAGATTCTATAAAAAGTGTGTTTCAACACTGCTCTATCAAAATAAAGTTTCAAGTCTGTAAGTTTAATGCACACATCACAAAGCAGTTTCTGAGAATGCTTCTGTCTAGTTTGTAGGTGAAGGTATTTCCTTTTCCATCTTACACCTCAAATCACTAAAAATATCCACTTGCAGATACTACAAAAAGACTGTTTCAAAATCTCTCTCTCAAAAGGAAGGTTCAACTCTGTGAGTTGAATGCACACATCACAAAGCAGTTTCTGAGAATGCTTCTGTCTAGTATTTATGTGAAGATATTGCTTTTTCCACCATAGGCACAAAAGCTCTCCAAATGAACACTTGCAGATCCTACAAAATGTGTGTTTCAACACTGCTCTTTCAAAACAAGGGTTAAAGTCTGTGAGTTGAATGCAGACATCACCAAGCAGCTTCTGAGAGTGCTTCTGTCTAGATTGTATGTGAAGATATTTCCTTTTCCATCTTAGGCCTCAAATCACTACAAGTATCCAATTGAAGATACTTCAAAAAGATTGTTTCAAAACGGCTCTCTCAGAAGGAAGGATCAACTCTGTGAGTTCAATTCACAATCACAAAGAAGTTTCTGAGAATGCTTCTGACTTGTGTGTATGTGAAGATATCCCTTTTACAATGAATTCTTCCAAGAGCTACAAATATCCACAAGCAGATTCTACAAAACAGGTTGTTCAAAACTGCTCAATCAAAAGAAAGAGTCAACCCTGTGAATTGAACACACACATCACAAAGCAGTTTCTGAGCATGCTTCTGTCTAGTTTGTATGTGAAGATAGTTCCTTTTCCCTCATAGGCCTCATAGCGTTCCAAATAGCGACTTGCAGATACTACAAAAAGACTGTTTGAAAACTGTTCTCTCAGAAGGAAGGTTCAACTCCGTGTGTTGAATGCACACATCACAAAGCAGTTTCTGAGAATGCTTCTGGCTAGTTTGTATATGAAGATATCCCATTGACAATGAATTCCTCAAAGAGCTCCAAATATCCACAAGCAGATTCTAGAAAAGCAGTTTTTCAAAACTGCTCAATGAAAAGAAAGGTTCAACTCTGTGAATTGAACACACATATCACAAAGGAGTTTCGGAGAACGGCTTCTTTCTAGTCTTTATGTGAAGATACTTCTTTTTCCACCATAGGCATCAAAGCGCTCCAAATGAACACTTGCAGATTCTACAAATGTGTGTTTCAACACTGCTCCGTCTAAAGAAATGTTCAAGTCTCTGTGTTGAATGCACCCATCACAAAGGAGTTTCTGAGAATGCTTCTATCTAGTTTCTATGTGAAGATATTCCCGTTTCCATGTTAAGCCTCACATCGCTCCATATATCCACTTGAGGATACTACAAAAAACTGTTTCAAAACTGCTCTCTCAAAAGGAAGGTTCAACTCTGTGAGCTGAATGCACACATCACAAAGCAGTAAATGAGATTGCTTCTGTCTAGTTTGTATGTGAAGATATTTCTTTATCCACCATAGGCAAAAAAACGCTCCAAGTGAACACTTGCACATCCTACAAAATGTGTGTTTCAACACTGCTCTTTCAAGAGAAAGGTTCAAGTCTGTGAGTTGAATGCACACATCACTAAGCAGTTTCTGAGAATGCTGCTGTCTAGTTTGTATGCGAAGATATCCCGTTTACAACGAATTCCTCAAAGAGCTCCAAATATCCACAAGCAGATTCTACAGAAGCAGTGTATCAAAACTGCTCTATCAAAAGAAAGGTTCAACTCTCTGAATAGAACAAACACATCAAAAAGGAGTTTCTGAGAATGCTTCTGTCTAGTATTTATGTGAAGATATTTCTTTTTCCACCATAGGCAAAAAAACGCTCCAAGTGAACACTTGCACATCCTACAAAATGTTTGTTTCAACACTGCTCTTTCAAGAGAAAGGTTCAAGTCTGTGAGTTGAATGCACACATCACTAAGCAGTTTCTGTGAATGCTTCTGTCTAGTTTGTATGTGAAGATATCCCGTTTACAACGAAATACTCAAAGAGCTCCAAATATCCACAAGCAGATCCTATAAATGCGGTGTTTCAAAACTGCTCTATCATAAGAAAATTTCAATTCTGTGAATTTGACACACACTTCACAAAGGAGTTTCTGAGAATGTTTCTGTCTAGTTTTCATTTGAAGATATTTCTTTTTCCACTATAGGCAACAAAGCGCACTAAATGAACCCTTGCAGATTCTACAAAAAGCGTGTTCCAACACTGATCTCTCAAAAGAATGTTTGAAGTCTGTGAGTTGAAGGCACACATCTCAAAGAACTTTTTGAGAATGCTTGGGTCTCCTTTTTTTGGGAAGATACCAACTACCAACGAATTCCTGAAAGAGTTCCAAATATCCACAAGTAGATTCTACAAAAGGATTGTTTCAATTCTGCTCTATCAAAAGGCAGATTCAACTCAGTTACTTGAATGCACACATCTCAATGAAGTTCCTGAGCATGCCTCTGTCTAGTTTTCTGTGAAGATATTTCCTTTTCCGCCAAAGGCTTAAAAGCGCTCCAAAATGAACACTCGCAGATCCTACAAAAAGACTGTTTCAGAACTGCTCTATCAAAAGGACGGTTCCACTCTGTGAGGTGAATGCACACATCACAAAGCAGATTCTGAGAAAGCTTCTGTCAAGTTTGGCCGTGAAGATATTTCCTTTTCAATCTTAGTCTCCCTTTGCTCCAAGTATCCACTTGTAGAGAATACAAAAAGATTGTTTCAAAACTGCTCTCTCAAAAGGAAGGTTCAACTCTGTGAGTAGAATGCACACATCACAAACCAGTTTCTGAGAATGTTTCTGACTAGTTTGAATGTGAAGATATCCCGTTTAAAACGAATTCCTCAAACAGCTCCAAATATCCACAAGAAGATTCTACAAAAGCAGTGTTTCAAAACTGCTTTATCTAAAGAAAGTTTCAACCCTGTGAATTGAACAACTACATCACAAAGTATTTTCTGAGAATGTTTCTGTCTAGTTTTTACGTGAAGATATTTCTTTTTCCACCATGGGCAAGCAAAGCACTCCAAATGAACACTTGCAGATTCTACAAAAAGTGTGTTTCAACCCTGCTCTATCAAAAGAAAGTTTCAAGCCTGTGAGTTGAATCCCCACATCACAAAGCAGTTTCTGAGAATGCTTCTGCCTAGTTTTCAGGTGAAGGTATATCCTTTTCCATCTTAGGCCTCAAATCTCTCCAAACATCCACTTGCAGATACTTCAAAAAGACTGTTTCAAAACTGCTCTCAAAAGGAAGGTTCAACTCTGTGAGTTGAATGCACACATCACAACGCAGTGTCTGAGAACGCTTCTGTCTAGTTTGCATGTGAAGATATTTCCTTTTCCATCTTAGGCCTCAAATCGATCCAAATATCCAATTGCAGACACCACAAAAAGACTGCTTCAAAACAGCTCTCGCAAAAGGAAGGTTCAACTCTGTGAGTTGAATGCACACATCACAGAGCAGTTTCTGAGAATGCTTCTGTCTAGTTTGTATGTGAAGATATCCCGTTTACAACAAATTCCTCAAAGAGCCCCCAATAGCAACAAGCAGATTCTACAAAAGCAGTGTTTCAAAACTGCTCTATCAAAAGGAACTTCCAACTCTGCGAATTGAACACACACATCACAAAGCAGTCTCTGAGAATGCTTCTGTCTGGTTTTTAGGTGAAGATATTCCTTTTTCCACCAGAGGCAACAAAGCACTCCAAACGAACACATGAAGATTCTACAAAAAGTGTGTTCCAACACTGCTCTATCAAAAGAAAGGTTCAAGTCTGGGAGTCCAATGTACATATCGCAAAGAACTTTCTGAGAATGCTTGGGTCTACTTTTTATGTGAAGATAGCCGTTTCCAAAGAATTCTTCAAAGAGTTCCAGATATCCACAGGCAGATTCTACAAAAGAAGTGTTTCAATACTGCTCTATCAAAAGACGTATTCAACTCAGTTACTTTAATGCACACATCTCAATGAAGTTCCTGAGAAAGCTTCTGTCTAGTTTTTATGTGAAAATATTTCCTTTTCCATCATGGGCCTCAAAGCGCTCAAAATGGACACTTGCAGATACTAGAGAAAGACTGTTTCAAAACTGCTCTATCCAAAGAACGGTTCCACTCTGTGAGGTGAATGCACACATCACAAAGCAGTTTCTGAGAACTCTTCTGTCTAGTTTGTATGTGAACATATTTCCTTTTCCATCATAGGCCTCAAATCGCTCCAAATATCCACTTGCAGATACTACAGAAAGACTGTTTCAGAACTGCTTTCTCAAAAGAAAGTTTCAACTCTGTGAGTTGAATGCACACAGCACAAAGCAGTTTCTGAGAATGCTTCTGTGTAATTTGTATGTGAAGATATCCCGTATACGCCCAATTCCTCAAAGACCTCCAAATACATGCAAGCAGATTCTACAAAAGCAGTGTTTCAAATCTGCTCTATCAAAAGAAAGGTTCAACTTTGTGAATTGGACACAAACATCTCAAAGGAGTTTCTGAGAAGGCTTCTTTCTAGTTTGTATGTGAACACATTTCTTTTTCCACCACAGGCAACAAAGCTCTCCAAATGAAGACTTGCAGATTCTATAAAAAGTGTGTTTCAACACTGCTCTATCAAAATAAGGTTTCAAGTCTGTAAGTTTAATGCACACATCACAAAGCAGTTTCTGAGAATGCTTCTGTCTAGTTTGTAGGTGAAGGTATTTCCTTTTCCATCTTAGACCTCAAATCACCAAAAATATCCACCTGTACATACTACAAAAAGACTGTTTCAAAACGTCTCTCTCAAAAGGAAGGTTCAACTCTGTGAGTTGAATGCACACATCACACAGCAGTTTCTGAGCATGCTTCTGTCTAGTTTGTATGTGAAGATAGTTCCTTTTCCCTCATAGGCCTCAAATCGTTCCAAATATCGACTTGCAGATACTACAAAAAGACTGTTTGAAAACCGTTCTCTCAGAAGGAAGGTTCAACTCCGTGTGTTGAATGCACACATCACAAAGCAGTTTCTGAGAATGCTTCTGTCTAGCTTGTACGTGAAGATAGTTCCTTTTCCCTCATAGGTCCCAAATCGTTCCAAATATCGACTTGCAGATACCACAAAAAGACTGCTTCAAAACTGTTCTCAGAAGGAAGGTTCAACTCCGTGTGTTGAATGCACACATCAAAAAGCAGTTTCTGAGAATGCTTCTGTCTAGTTTGTATGTGAAGATATAACATTGACAGTGAATTCGTCAAAGAGCTTCAAATATCGAAAAGCAGATTCTAGAAAAGCAGTGTTTCAAAACTGCTCAATCAAAAGAAAGGTTCAACTCTGTGAACTGAACACATATATCACAAAGGAGTTTCGGAGAACGCTTCTTTCTAGTCTTTATGTGAAGATATTTCTTTTTCCACCATAGGCATCAAAGCGCTCCAAATGAACTCTTGCAGATTCTGCATATGTGTGTTTCAACACTGCTCCGTCTAAAGAAATGTTCAAGTCTCTGAGTTGAATGCACCCATCACAAAGCAGTTTCTGAGAATGCTTCTTTCTAGTTTGCATGTGAAGATATTCCCGTTTCCATCTTAAGCCTCACATCGCTCCATATATCCACTTGAGGATACTACAAAAAACTGTTTCAAAACTGCTCTCTCAAAAGGAAGGTTCAACTCTGTGAGCTGAATGCACACATCGCAAAGCAGTTAATGAGATTGCTTCTGTCTAGTTTGTATGTGAGGATATTTCCTTTTCAAACTTAGACTTCCCATCGCTCCAAATATCCACTTGCAGATATTTCAAAGAGACTGTTTAAAAACTGCTCTCTCAGAAGGAAGGTTCAACTCTGTGAGTTGAATGCACACACCACAAAGCAGTTTCTGAGAATGCTTCTGTCTAGTTTGTATGTGAAGATATCCCGTTTACAACGAATTCCTCAAAGAGCTCCAAATATCCACAAGCAGATTCTACAGAAGCAGTGTATCAAAACTGCTCTATCAAAAGAAAGGTTCAACTCTCTGAATAGAACAAACACATCACTAAGGCGTTTCTGAGAATGCTTCTGTCTAGTATTTATGTGAAGATATTTCTTTTTCCCCATAGGCAAAAAAGAGCTCCAAGTGAACACTTGCACATGCTACAAAATGTGTGTTTCAACACTGCTCTTTCAAAAGAAAGGTTGAAGTCTGTGATTGGAATGCACACATCACAAAGCAGTTTCTGAGAATGCTTCTGTCTACTTTGTATGTGAAGATATCCCGTTTACAACAAATTCCTCAAAGAGCCCCCAATAGCAACAAGCAGATTCTACAAAAGCAGTGTTTCAAAACTGCTCTATCAAAAGGAACTTTTAACTCTGCGAATTGAACACACACATCACAAAGCAGTCTCGGAGAATGCTTCTGTCTGGTTTTTAGGTGAAGATATTCCTTTTTCCACCATAGGCAACAAAGCACTCCAAACGAACACATGAAGATTCTACAAAAAGTGTGTTCCAACACTGCTCTATCAAAAGAAATGTTCAAGTCTGGGAGTCCAATGTACATATCACAAAGAACTTTCTGAGAATGCTTGGGTCTACTTTTTATGTGAAGATAGCCGTTTCCAAAGAATTCTTCAAAGAGTTCCAGATATCCACAGGCAGATTCTACAAATAAGTGTTTCAATACTGCTCTATCAAAAGACGTATTCAACTCAGTTACTTTAATGCACACATCTCAATGAAGTTCCTGAGAAAGCTTCTGTCTACTTTTTATGTGAAAATATTTCCTATTCCATCATGGGCCTAAAAGCGCTCAAAATGAACACTTGCAGATACTAGAGAAAGACTGTTTCAAAACTGCTCTATCCAAAGAACGGTTCCACTCTGTGAGGTGAATGCACACATCACAAAGCAGTTTCTGAGAACGCTTCTGTCTAGTTTGTATGTGAACATATTTCCTTTTCCATCATAGGCCTCAAATCGCTCCAAATATCCACTTGCAGATACTACAAAAAGACTGTTTCGGAACTGCTTTCTCAAAAGAAAGTTTCAACTCTGTGAGTTGAATGCACACAGCACAAAGCAGTTTCTGACAATGCTTCTGTGTAATTTGTATGTGAAGATATCCCGTATACGTCCAATTCCTCAAATACCTCCAAATATTCACAAGCAGATTCTACAAAAGCAGAGTTTCAAATCTGCTGTATCAATAGAAAGGTTCAACTTTGTGAATTGGACACAAACATCTCAAAGGAGTTTCTGAGAAGGCTTCTTTCTAGTTTGTATGTGAACACATTTCTTTTTCCACCACAGGCAACAAAGCTCTCAAAATGAACACTTGCAGATTCTATAAAAAGTGTGTTTCAACACTGCTCTATCAAAATAAGGTTTCAAGTCTGTACATTTAATGCACCCATCACAAAGCAGTTTCTGAGAATGCTTCTGTCTAGTTTGTAGGTGAAGGTATTTCCTTTTCCATATTAGACCTCAAATCACTAAAAATATCCACTTGTATATGCTACAAAAAGACTGTTTCAAAACCTCTCTCTCAAAAGGAAGGTTCAACTCTGTGAGTTGAATGCGCACATCACAAAGCAGTTTCTGAGCATGCTTCTGTCTAGTTTGTATGTGAAAATAGTTCCTTTTCCCTCATAGGCCTCAAATCGTTCCAAATATCGACTTGCAGGTACTACAAAAAGACTGTTTGAAAACTCTTCTCTCACAAGGAAGGTTCAACTCCGTGTGTTGAATGCACACATCACAAAGCAGTTTCTGAGAATGCTTCTGTCTAGCTTGTATGTGAAGATAGTTCCTTTTCCCTCATAGGTCCCAAATCGTTCCAAATATCGACTTGCAGATACCACAAAAAGACTGCTTCAAAACTGTTCTCAGAAGGAAGGTTCAACTCCGTGTGTTGAATGCACACATCAAAAAGCAGTTTCTCAGAATGCTTCTGTCTAGTTTGTATGTGAAGATATAACATTGACAGCGAATTCGTCAAAGAGCTTCAAATATCCAAAAGCAGATTCTAGAAAAGCAGTGTTTCAAAACTGCTCAATCAAAAGAAAGGTTCAACTCTGTGAACTGAACACATATATCACAAAGGAGTTTCGGAGAACGCTTCTTTCTAGTCTTTATGTGAAGATATTTCTTTTTCCACCATAGGCATCAAAGCGCTCCAAATGAACTCTTGCAGATTCTGCATATGTGTGTTTCAACACTGCTCCGTCTAAAGAAATGTTCAAGTCTCTGAGTTGAATGCACCCATCACAAAGCAGTTTCTGAGAATGCTTCTTTCTAGTTTGCATGTGAAGATATTCCCGTTTCCATCTTAAGCCTCACATCGCTCCATATATCCACTTGAGGATACTACAAAAAACTGTTTCAAAACTGCTCTCTCAAAAGGAAGGTTCAACTCTGTGAGCTGAATGCACACATCGCAAAGCAGTTAATGAGATTGCTTCTGTCTAGTTTGTATGTGAGGATATTTCCTTTTCAAACTTAGACTTCCCATCGCTCCAAATATCCACTTGCAGATATTTCAAAGAGACTGTTTAAAAACTGCTCTCTCAGAAGGAAGGTTCAACTCTGTGAGTTGAATGCACACACCACAAAGCAGTTTCTGAGAATGCTTCTGTCTAGTTTGTATGTGAAGATATCCCGTTTACAACGAATTCCTCAAAGAGCTCCAAATATCCACAAGCAGATTCTACAGAAGCAGTGTATCAAAACTGCTCTATCAAAAGAAAGGTTCAACTCTCTGAATAGAACAAACACATCACTAAGGCGTTTCTGAGAATGCTTCTGTCTAGTATTTATGTGAAGATATTTCTTTTTCCACCATAGGCAAAAAAGCACTCCAAGTGAACACTTGCACATCCTACAAAATGTGTGTTTGAACACTGCTCTTTCAAAAGAAAGGTTGAAGTCTGTGATTGGAATGCACACATCACAAAGCAGTTTCTGAGAATGCTTCTGTCTACTTTGTATGTGAAGATATCCCGTTTACAACAAATTCCTCAAAGAGCTCCAGATATCCACAAGCAGATCCTATAAAAGCGGTGTTTCAAAGCTGCGCTATCAAAGGAATATTTCAATTCTGTGAATTTGACACACACTTCACAAAGGAGTTTCTGAGAATGTTTCTGTCTAGTTTTCATTTGAAGATATTTCTTTTTCCACCATAGGCAACAAAGCGCACTAAATGAACACTTGCAGATTCTACAAAAAGCGTGTTCCAACACTGATCTCTCAAAAGAAAGTTTGAAGTCTGTGAGTTTAAGGCACACATCTCAAGGAACTTTTTGAGAATCCTTGGGTCTCCTTTTTTTGTGAAGATACCAGCTGCCAACGAACTCCTGAAAGAGTTCCAAATATCCACAAGCAGATTCTACAAAAGGAGTGTTTCAATTCTGCTCTATCAAAAGGCAGATTCAACTCAGTTACTTGAATGCACACATCTCAGTGAAGTTCCTGAGCATGCCTCTGTCTAGTTTTTTTGTGAAGATATTTCCTTTTCCGCCAAAGGCTTAAAAGCGCTCCAAAATGAACACTCGCAGATCCTACAAAAAGACTGTTTCAGAACTGCTCTATCAAAAGGACGGTTCCACTCTGTGAGGTAAATGCACACATCACAAAGCAGATTCTGAGAAAGCTTCTGTCAAGTTTGGCCGTGAAGATATTTCCTTTTCAATCTTAGTCCTCCCATTGCTCCAAGTATCCACTTGTAGAGAATACAAAAAGATTGTTTCAAAACTGCTCTCTCAAAAGGAAGGTTCAACTCTGTGAGTAGAATGCACACATCACAAACCAGTTTCTGAGAATGCTTCTGACTAGTTTGAATGTGAAGATATCCCGTTTAAAACGAATTCCTCAAACAGCTCCAAATATCCACAAGAAGATTCTACAAAAGCAGTGTTTCAAAACTGCTTTATCTAAAGAAAGGTTCAACCCTGTGAATTGAACAACCACATCACAAAGTATTTTCTGAGAATGTTTCTGTCTAGTTTTTACATGAAGATATTTCTTTTTCCACCATGGGCAAGAAAGCACTCCAAATGAACACTTGCAGATTCTACAAAAAGTGTGTTTGAACCCTGCTCTATCAAAAGAAAGTTTCAAGCCTGTGAGTTGAATCCCCACATCACAAAGCAGTTTCTGAGAATGCTTCTGCCTAGTTTTTAGGTGAAGATATATCCTTTTCCATCTTAGGCCTCAAATCTCTCCAAACATCCACTTGCAGATACTTCAAAAAGACTGTTTCAAAACTGCTCTCAAAAGGAAGGTTCAACTCTGTGAGTTGAATGCACACATCACAACGCAGTGTCTGAGAATGCTTCTGTCTAGTTTGTATGTGGAGATATTTCCTTTTCCATCTTAGGCCTCAAATCGATCCAAATATCCAATTGCAGATACCACAAAAAGACTGCTTCAAAACAGCTCTCGCAAAAGGAAGGTTCAACTCTGTGAGTTGAATGCACACATCACAGAGCAGTTTCTGAGAATGCTTCTGTCTACTTTGTATGTGAAGATATCCCGTTTACAACAAATTCCTCATAGAGCCCCCAATATCAACAAGCAGATTCTACAAAAGCAGTGTTTCAAAACTGCTCTATCAAAAGGAACATTCAACTCAGCGAATTGAACACACACATCACAAAGCAGTCTCTGAGAATGCTTCTGTCTTGTTTTTAGGTGAAGATATTCCTTTTTCTACCATAGGCAACAAAGCACTCCAGACGAACACATGAAGATTCTACAAAAAGTGTGTTCCAGCACTGCTCTATCAAAAGAAAGGTTCAAGTCTGGGAGTCCAATGTACATATCACAAAGAACTTTCTGAGAATGCTTGGGTCTACTTTTTATGTGAAGATAGCCGTTTCCAAAGAATTCTTCAAAGAGTTCCAGATATCCACAGGCAGATTCTACAAAAGAAGTGTTTCAATACTGCTCTATCAAAAGACGTATTCCACTCAGTTACTTTAATGCACACATCTCAATGAAGTTCCTGAGAAAGCTTCTGTCTAGTTTTTCTGTGAAAATATTTCCTTTTCCATCATGGGCCTCAAAGCGCTCAAAATGAACACTTGCAGATACTAGAGAAAGACTGTTTCAAAACTGCTCTATCCAAAGAAAGGTTCCACTCTGTGAGGTGAATGCACACATCACAAAGCAGTTTCTCAGAACGCTTCTGTCTAGTTTGTATGTGAACATATTTCCTTTTCCATCATAGGCCTCAAATCGCTCCAAATATCCACTTGCAGATACTACAAAAAGACTGTTTCAAAACTGCTTTCTCAAAAGAAAGTTTCAACTCTGTGAGTTGAATGCACACATCACAAAGCAGTTTCTGAGAATGCTTCTGTGTAACTTGTATGTGAAGATCTCCCGTATACGCCCAATTCCTCAAAGACCGCCAAATATCCGCAAGCAGATTCTACAAAAGCAGTGTTCCAAATCTGCTCTATCAAAAGAAAGGTTCAACTTTGTGAATTGGACACAAACATCTCAAAGGAGTTTCTGAGAAGGCTTCTTTCTAGTTTCTAGGTGAACATATTCCTTTTTCCACCACAGGCAACAAAGCTCTCCAAATGAACACTTGCAGATTCTATAAAAAGTGTGTTTCAACACTGCTCTATCAAAATAAAGTTTCAAGTCTGTAAGTTTAATGCACACATCACAAAGCAGTTTCTGAGAATGCTTCTGTCTAGTTTGTAGGTGAAGGTATTTCCTTTTCCATCTTAGACCTCAAATCACTAAAAATATCCACTTGCAGATACTACAAAAAGACTGTTTCAAAACCTCTCTCTCAAAAGGAAGGTGCAACTCTGTGAGTTGAATGCACACATCACAAAGCAGTTTCTGAGAATGCTACTTTCTAGTATTTATGTGAAGATATTTCTTTATCCACCATAGGCACAACAGCGTTCCAAATGAACACTTGCAGATCGTACAAAATGTGTGTTTCAACACTGCTCTTGCAAAACAAGGGTTCAAGTCTGTGAGTTGAATGCAGACATCACCAAGCAGCTTCTGAGAGTGCTTCTGTCTAGATTGTATGTGAAGATATTTCCTCTTCCATCTTAGGCCTCAAATCACTACAAACATCCAATTGAAGATACTTCAAAAAGATTGTTTCAAAACGGCTCTCTCAAAAGGAAGGTTCAACTCTGTGAGTTCAATTCACACATCACAAAGAAGTTTCTGAGAATGCTTCTGACTAGTGTGTATTTGAAGATATCCCTTTTACAAAGAATTCCTCCAAGGAGCTACAAATATCCACAAGCAGATTCTACAAAACAGGTGGTTCAAAACTGCTCAATCAAAAGAAAGAGTCAACCCTGTGAATTGAACACACACATCACAAAGCAGTTTCTGAGAATGCTTCTGTCTAGTTTGTAAGTGAACATATTTCCTTTTCCATCATAGGCCTCAAATCGCTCCAAATATCCACTTGCAGATACTACAAAAAGACTGTTTCAGAACAGCTTTCTCAAAAGAAAGTTTCAACTCTGTGAGAGGAATGCACACATCACAGAGCAGTTTCTGAGAATGCTTCTGTGTAATTTGTATGTGAAGATATCCCGTATACGCCCAATTCCTCAAAGACCTCCAAATACATGCAAGCAGATTCTACAAAAGCAGTGTTTCAAATCTGCTCTATCAAAAGAAAGGTTCAACTTTGTGAATTGGACACAAACATCTCAAAGGAGTTTCTGAGAAGGCTTCTTTCTAGTTTGTATGTGAACACATTTCTTTTTCCACCACAGGCAACAAAGCTCTCCAAATGAACACTTGCAGATTCTATAAAAAGTGTGTTTCAACACTGCTCTATCAAAATAAGGTTTCAAGTCTGTAAGTTTAATGCACACATCACAAAGCAGTTTCTGAGAATGCTTCTGTCTAGTTTGTAGGTGAAGGTATTTCCTTTTCCATCTTAGACCTCAAATCACCAAAAATATCCACCTGTACATACTACAAAAAGACTGTTTCAAAACGTCTCTCTCAAAAGGAAGGTTCAACTCTGTGAGTTGAATGCACACATCACACAGCAGTTTCTGAGCATGCTTCTGTCTAGTTTGTATGTGAAGATAGTTCCTTTTCCCTCATAGGCCTCAAATCGTTCCAAATATCGACTTGCAGATACTACAAAAAGACTGTTTGAAAACCGTTCTCTCAGAAGGAAGGTTCAACTCCGTGTGTTGAATGCACACATCACAAAGCAGTTTCTGAGAATGCTTCTGTCTAGCTTGTATGTGAAGATAGTTCCTTTTCCCTCATAGGTCCCAAATCGTTCCAAATATCGACTTGCAGATACCACAAAAAGACTGCTTCAAAACTGTTCTCAGAAGGAAGGTTCAACTCCGTGTGTTGAATGCACACATCAAAAAGCAGTTTCTGAGAATGCTTCTGTCTAGTTTGTATGTGAAGATATAACATTGACAGCGAATTCGTCAAAGAGCTTCAAATATCCAAAAGCAGATTCTAGAAAAGCAGTGTTTCAAAACTGCTCAATCAAAAGAAAGGTTCAACTCTGTGAACTGAACACATATATCACAAAGGAGTTTCGGAGAACGCTTCTTTCTAGTCTTTATGTGAAGATATTTCTTTTTCCACCATAGGCATCAAAGCGCTCCAAATGAACTCTTGCAGATTCTGCATATGTGTGTTTCAACACTGCTCTGTCTAAAGAAATGTTCAAGTCTCTGAGTTGAATGCACCCATCACAAAGCAGTTTCTGAGAATGCTTCTTTCTAGTTTGCATGTGAAGATATTCCCGTTTCCATCTTAAGCCTCACATCGCTCCATATATCCACTTGAGGATACTACAAAAAACTGTTTCAAAACTGCTCTCTCAAAAGGAAGGTTCAACTCTGTGAGCTGAATGCACACATCGCAAAGCAGTTAATGAGATTGCTTTCTGTCTAGTTTGTATGTGAGGATATTTCCTTTTCAATCTTAGACTTCCCATCGCTCCAAATATCCACTTGCAGATATTTCAAAGAGACTGTTTAAAAACTGCTATCTCAGAAGGAAGGTTCACCTCTGTGAGTTGAATGCACACACCACAAAGCAGTTTCTGAGAATGGCTTCTGTCTAGTTTGTATGTGAAGATATCCCATTGAAAGCGAATTCCTCAAAGAGCTCCAAATATCCACAAGCAGATTCTAGAAAAGCATTGTTTCAAAACTGCTCAATCAAAAGAAAGGTTCAACTCTGTGAACTGAACACACATATCACAAAGGTGTTTCTGAGAATGCTTCTGTCTAGTATTTATGTGAAGATATTGCTTTTTCCACCATAGGCAAAAAAGGACTCCAAGTGAACACTTGCACATCCTACAAAATGTGTGATTCAACACTGCTCTTTCAAAAGAAAGGTTCAAGTCTGTGAGTTGAATGCACACATCACAAAGCAGTTTCTGAGAATGCTTCTGTCTAGTTTTTATGTGAAGATATCCCGTTTACAACGAAATCCTCAAAGAGCTCCAAATATCCACAAGCAGATCCTATAAAAGCGGTGTTTCAAAACTGCTCTATCAAAAGAAAATTTCAATTCTGTGAATTTGACACACACTTCACAAAGGAGTTTCTGAGAATGTTTCTGTCTAGTTTTCATTTGAAGATATTTCTTTTTCCACCATAGGCAACAAAGCGCACTAAATGAACACTTGCAGATTCTACAAAAAGCGTGTTCCAACACTGATCTCTCAAAAGAAAGTTTGAAGTCTGTGAGTTTAAGGCACACATCTCAAAGAACTTTTTGAGAATGCTTGTTTCTCCTTTTTTTGTGAAGATACCAGCTGCCAACGAATTCCTGAAAGAGTTCCAAATATCCACAAGCAGATTCTACAAAAGGAGTGTTTCAATTCTGCTCTATCAAAAGGCAGATTCAACTCAGTTACTTGAATGCACACATCTCAGTGACGTTCCTGAGCATGACTCTGTCTAGTTTTTTCTGAAGATATTTCCTTTTCCTCCAAAGGCTTAAAAGCGCTCCAAAATGAACACTCGCAGATCCTACAAAAAGACTGTTTCAGAACTGCTGTATCAAAAGGACGGTTGCACTCTGTGAGGTGAATGCACACATCACAAAGCAGATTCTCAGAAAGCTTCTGTCAAGTTTGGCCGTGAAGATATTTCCTTTTCAATCTTAGTCCTCCCATTGCTCCAAGTATCCACTTGTAGAGAATACACAAAGATTGTTTCAAAACTGCTCTCTCAAAAAGAAGGTTCAACTCTATGAGTAGAATGCACACATCACAAACCAGTTTCTGAGAATGCTTCTGACTAGTTTGAATGTGAAGATATCCCGTTTAAAACGAATTCCTCAAACAGCTCCAAATATCCACAGGAAGATTCTACAAAGGTAGTGTTTCAAAACTGCTTTATCTAAAGAAAGGATCAACCCTGTGAATTGAACAACTACATCACAAAGTATTTTCGGAGAATGTTTCTGTCTAGTTTTTACGTGAAGATATTTCTTTTTCCACTATGGGCAAGAAAGCACTCCAAATGAACACTTGCAGATTCTACAAAAAGTGTGTTTCAACCCTGCTCTATCAAAAGAAAGTTTCAAGCCTGTGAGTTGAATCCCCACATCACAAAGCAGTTTCTGAGAATGCTTCTGCCTAGTTTTTAGGTGAAGATATATCCTTTTCCATCTTAGGCCTCAAATCTCTCCAAACATCCACTTGCAGATACTTCAAAGAGACTGTTTCAAAACTGCTCTCAAAAGGAAGGTTCAACTCTGTGAGTTGAATGCACACATCACAACGCAGTGTCTGAGAATGCTTCTGTCTAGTTTGTATGTGAAGATATTTCCTTTTCCATCTTAGGCCTCAAATCGATCCAAATATCCAATTGCAGATACCACAAAAAGACTGCTTCAAAACAGCTCTCGCAAAAGGAAGGTTCAACTCTGTGAGTTGAATGCACACAGCACAGAGCAGTTTGTGAGAATGCTTCTGTCTAGTTTGTATGTGAAGATATCCCGTTTACAACAAATTCCTCAAAGAGCCCCCAATAGCAACAAGCAGATTCTACAAAAGCAGTGTTTCAAAACTGCTCTATCAAAAGCAACTTTCAACTCTGCGAATTGAACACACACATCACAAAGCAGTCTCTGAGAATGCTTCTGTCTGGTTTTTAGGTGAAGATATTCCTTTTTCCAGCAGAGGCAACAGAGCACTCCAAACGAACACATGAAGATTCTACAAAAAGTGTGTTCCAACACTGCTCTATCAAAAGAAAGGTTCAAGTCTGGGAGTCCAATGTACATATCACAAAGAACTTTCTGAGAATGCTTGGGTCTACTTTTTATGTGAAAGATAGCCGTTTCCAAAGAATTCTTCAAAGAGTTCCAGATATCCACAGGCAGATTCTAC
This sequence comes from Homo sapiens, assembly GCF_000001405.40. Classification (NCBI taxonomy): domain Eukaryota; kingdom Metazoa; phylum Chordata; class Mammalia; order Primates; family Hominidae; genus Homo; species Homo sapiens. Next base: position 46,973,162 of record NC_000005.10, on the reverse strand, counting down.
AAAAGAAGTGTTTCAATACTGCTCTATCAAAAGACGTATTCCACTCAGTTACTTTAATGCACACATCTCAGTGAAGTTCCTGAGAAAGCTTCTGTCTAGTTTTTATGTGAAAATATTTCCTTTTCCATCATGGGCCTCAAAGCGCTCAAAATGAACACTTGCAGATACTAGAGAAAGACTGTTTCAAAACTGCTCTATCCAAAGAACGGTTCCACTCTGTGAGGTGAATGCACACATCACAAAGCAGTTTCTGAGAACTCTTCTGTCTAGTTTGTATGTGAACATATTTCCTTTTCCATCATAGGCCTCAAATCGCTCCAAATATCCACTTGCAGATACTACAAAAAGACTGTTTCAAAACTGCTTTCTCAAAAGAAAGTTTCAACTCTGTGAGTTGAATGCACACATCACAAAGCAGTTTCTGAGAATGCTTCTGTGTAACTTGTATGTGAAGATCTCCCGTATACGCCCAATTCCTCAAAGACCGCCAAATATCCGCAAGCAGATTCTACAAAAGCAGTGTTCCAAATCTGCTCTATCAAAAGAAAGGTTCAACTTTGTGAATTGGACACAAACATCTCAAAGGAGTTTCTGAGAAGGCTTCTTTCTAGTTTCTAGGTGAACATATTCCTTTTTCCACCACAGGCAACAAAGCTCTCCAAATGAACACTTGCAGATTCTATAAAAAGTGTGTTTCAACACTGCTCTATCAAAATAAAGTTTCAAGTCTGTAAGTTTAATGCACACATCACAAAGCAGTTTCTGAGAATGCTTCTGTCTAGTTTGTAGGTGAAGGTATTTCCTTTTCCATATTAGACCTCAAATCACTAAAAATATCCACTTGTATATACTACAAAAAGACTGTTTCAAAACCTCTCTCTCAAAAGGAAGGCTCAACTCTGTGAGTTGAATGCACACATCACAAAGCAGTTTCTGAGTATGCTTCTGTCTAGCTTGTATGTGAAGATAGTTCCTTTTCCCTCATAGGTCCCAAATCGTTCCAAATATCGACTTGCAGATACCACAAAAAGACTGCTTCAAAACTGTTCTCAGAAGGAAGGTTCAACTCCGTGTGTTGAATGCACACATCAAAAAGCAGTTTCTGAGAATGCTTCTGTCTAGTTTGTATGTGAAGATATAACATTGACAGTGAATTCGTCAAAGAGCTTCAAATATCCAAAAGCAGATTCTAGAAAAGCAGTGTTTCAAAACTGCTCAATCAAAAGAAAGGTTCAACTCTGTGAACTGAACACATATATCACAAAGGAGTTTCGGAGAACGCTTCTTTCTAGTCTTTATGTGAAGATATTTCTTTTTCCACCATAGGCATCAAAGCGCTCCAAATGAACTCTTGCAGATTCTGCATATGTGTGTTTCAACACTGCTCCGTCTAAAGAAATGTTCAAGTCTCTGAGTTGAATGCACCCATCACAAAGCAGTTTCTGAGAATGCTTCTTTCTAGTTTGCATGTGAAGATATTCCCGTTTCCATCTTAAGCCTCACATCGCTCCATATATCCACTTGAGGATACTACAAAAAACTGTTTCAAAACTGCTCTCTCAAAAGGAAGGTTCAACTCTGTGAGCTGAATGCACACATCGCAAAGCAGTTAATGAGATTGCTTCTGTCTAGTTTGTATGTGAGGATATTTCCTTTTCAAACTTAGACTTCCCATCGCTCCAAATATCCACTTGCAGATATTTCAAAGAGACTGTTTAAAAACTGCTCTCTCAGAAGGAAGGTTCAACTCTGTGAGTTGAATGCACACACCACAAAGCAGTTTCTGAGAATGCTTCTGTCTAGTTTGTATGTGAAGATATCCCGTTTACAACGAATTCCTCAAAGAGCTCCAAATATCCACAAGCAGATTCTACAGAAGCAGTGTATCAAAACTGCTCTATCAAAAGAAAGGTTCAACTCTCTGAATAGAACAAACACATCACTAAGGCGTTTCTGAGAATGCTTCTGTCTAGTATTTATGTGAAGATATTTCTTTTTCCACCATAGGCAAAAAAGCGCTCCAAGTGAACACTTGCACATCCTACAAAATGTGTGTTTGAACACTGCTCTTTCAAAAGAAAGGTTGAAGTCTGTGATTGGAATGCACACATCACAAAGCAGTTTCTGAGAATGCTTCTGTCTACTTTGTATGTGAAGATATCCCGTTTACAACAAATTCCTCAAAGAGCTCCAGATATCCACAAGCAGATCCTATAAAAGCGGTGTTTCAAAGCTGCGCTATCAAAGGAATATTTCAATTCTGTGAATTTGACACACACTTCACAAAGGAGTTTCTGAGAATGTTTCTGTCTAGTTTTCATTTGAAGATATTTCTTTTTCCACCATAGGCAACAAAGCACACTAAATGAACACTTGCAGATTCTACAAAAAGCGTGTTCCAACACTGATCTCTCAAAAGAAAGTTTGAAGTCTGTGAGTTTAAGGCAGACATCTCAAGGAACTTTTTGAGAATCCTTGGGTCTCCTTTATTTGTGAAGATACCAGCTGCCAACGAACTCCTGAAAGAGTTCCAAATATCCACAAGCAGATTCTACAAAAGGAGTGTTTCAATTCTGCTCTATCAAAAGGCAGATTCAACTCAGTTACTTGAATGCACACATCTCAGTGAAGTTCCTGAGCATGCCTCTGTCTAGTTTTTTTGTGAAGATATTTCCTTTTCCGCCAAAGGCTTAAAAGCGCTCCAAAATGAACACTCGCAGATCCTACAAAAAGACTGTTTCAGAACTGCTCTATCAAAAGGACGGTTCCACTCTGTGAGGTAAATGCACACATCACAAAGCAGATTCTGAGAAAGCTTCTGTCAAGTTTGGCCGTGAAGATATTTCCTTTTCAATCTTAGTCCTCCCATTGCTCCAAGTATCCACTTGTAGAGAATACAAAAAGATTGTTTCAAAACTGCTCTCTCAAAAGGAAGGTTCAACTCTGTGAGTAGAATGCACACATCACAAACCAGTTTCTGAGAATGCTTCTGACTAGTTTGAATGTGAAGATATCCCGTTTAAAACGAATTCCTCAAACAGCTCCAAATATCCACAAGAAGATTCTACAAAAGCAGTGTTTCAAAACTGCTTTATCTAAAGAAAGGTTCAACCCTGTGAATTGAACAACCACATCACAAAGTATTTTCTGAGAATGTTTCTGTCTAGTTTTTACGTGAAGATATTTCTTTTTCCACCATGGGCAAGAAAGCACTCCAAATGAACACTTGCAGATTCTACAAAAAGTGTGTTTGAACCCTGCTCTATCAAAAGAAAGTTTCAAGCCTGTGAGTTGAATCCCCACATCACAAAGCAGTTTCTGAGAATGCTTCTGCCTAGTTTTTAGGTGAAGATATATCCTTTTCCATCTTAGGCCTCAAATCTCTCCAAACATCCACTTGCAGATACTTCAAAAAGACTGTTTCAAAACTGCTCTCAAAAGGAAGGTTCAACTCTGTGAGTTGAATGCACACATCACAACGCAGTGTCTGAGAATGCTTCTGTCTAGTTTGTATGTGAAGATATTTCCTTTTCCATCTTAGGCCTCAAATCGATCCAAATATCCAATTGCAGATACCACAAAAAGACTGCTTCAAAACAGCTCTCGCAAAAGGAAGGTTCAACTCTGTGAGTTGAATGCACACATCACAGAGCAGTTTCTGAGAATGCCTCTGTCTACTTTGTATGTGAAGATATCCCGTTTACAACAAATTCCTCAAAGAGCCCCCAATAGCAACAAGCAGATTCTACAAAAGCAGTGTTTCAAAACTGCTCTATCAAAAGGAACTTTTAACTCTGCGAATTGAACACACACATCACAAAGCAGTCTCGGAGAATGCTTCTGTCTGGTTTTTAGGTGAAGATATTCCTTTTTCCACCATAGGCAACAGAGCACTCCAAACGAACACATGAAGATTCTACAAAAAGTGTGTTCCAACACTGCTCTATCAAAAGAAAGTTTCAAGTCTGGGAGTCCAATGTACATGTCACAAAGAACGTTCTGTGAATGCTTGGGTCTACTTTTTATGTGAAGATAGCCGTTTCCAAAGAATTCTTCAAAGAGTTCCAGATATCCACAGGCAGATTCTACAAAAGAAGTGTTTCAATACTGCTCTATCAAAAGACGTATTCAACTCAGTTACTTTAATGCACACATCTCAATGAAGTTCCTGAGAAAGCTTCTGTCTAGTTTTTATGTGAAAATATTTCCTTTTCCATCATGGGCCTCAAAGCGCTCAAAATGAACACTTGCAGATACTAGAGAAAGACTGTTTCAAAACTGCTCTATCCAAAGAAAGGTTCCACTCTGTGAGGTGAATGCACACATCACAAAGCAGTTTCTCAGAACGCTTCTGTCTAGTTTGTATGTGAACATATTTCCTTTTCCATCATAGGCCTCAAATCGCTCCAAATATCCACTTGCAGATACTACAAAAAGACTGTTTCAGAACTGCTTTCTCAAAAGAAAGTTTCAACTCTGTGAGTTGAATGCACACAGCACAAAGCAGTTTCTGAGAATGCTTCTGTGTAATTTGTATGTGAAGATATCCCGTATACGCCCAATTCCTCAAAGACCTCCAAATATCCACAAGCACATTCTACAAAAGCAGTGTTTCAAATCTGCTGTATCAAAAGAAAGGTTCAACTTTGTGAATTGGACACAAACATCTCAAAGGAGTTTCTGAGAAGGCTTCTTTCTAGTTTCTAGGTGAACATATTCCTTTTTCCACCACAGGCAACAAAGCTCTCCAAATGAACACTTGCAGATTCTATAAAAAGTGTGTTTCAACACTGCTCTATCAAAATAAAGTTTCAAGTCTGTAAGTTTAATGCACACATCACAAAGCAGTTTCTGAGAATGCTTCTGTCTAGTTTGTAGGTGAAGGTATTTCCTTTTCCATCTTAGACCTCAAATCACTAAAAATATCCACTTGCAGATACTACAAAAAGACTGTTTCAAAACCTCTCTCTCAAAAGGAAGGTGCAACTCTGTGAGTTGAATGCACACATCACAAAGCAGTTTCTGAGAATGCTACTTTCTAGTATTTATGTGAAGATATTTCTTTATCCACCATAGGCACAACAGCGTTCCAAATGAACACTTGCAGATCGTACAAAATGTGTGTTTCAACACTGCTCTTTCAAAACAAGGGTTCAAGTCTGTGAGTTGAATGCAGACATCACCAAGCAGCTTCTGAGAGTGCTTCTGTCTAGATTGTATGTGAAGATATTTCCTCTTCCATCTTAGGCCTCAAATCACTACAAACATCCAATTGAAGATACTTCAAAAAGATTGTTTCAAAACGGCTCTCTCAAAAGGAAGGTTCAACTCTGTGAGTTCAATTCACACATCACAAAGAAGTTTCTGAGAATGCTTCTGACTAGTGTGTATGTGAAGATATCCCTTTTACAAAGAATTCCTCCAAGAGCTACAAATATCCACAAGCAGATTCTACAAAACAGGTGGTTCAAAACTGCTCAATCAAAAGAAAGAGTCAACCCTGTGAATTGAACACACACATCACAAAGCAGTTTCTGAGAATGCTTCTGTCTAGTTTGTAAGTGAACATATTTCCTTTTCCATCATAGGCCTCAAATCGCTCCAAATATCCACTTGCAGATACTACAAAAAGACTGTTTCAGAACAGCTTTCTCAAAAGAAAGTTTCAACTCTGTGAGAGGAATGCACACATCACAGAGCAGTTTCTGAGAATGCTTCTGTGTAATTTGTATGTGAAGATATCCCGTATACGCCCAATTCCTCAAAGACCTCCAAATACATGCAAGCAGATTCTACAAAAGCAGTGTTTCAAATCTGCTCTATCAAAAGAAAGGTTCAACTTTGTGAATTGGACACAAACATCTCAAAGGAGTTTCTGAGAAGGCTTCTTTCTAGTTTGTATGTGAACACATTTCTTTTTCCACCACAGGCAACAAAGCTCTCCAAATGAACACTTGCAGATTCTATAAAAAGTGTGTTTCAACACTGCTCTATCAAAATAAGGTTTCAAGTCTGTAAGTTTAATGCACACATCACAAGGCAGTTTCTGAGAATGCTTCTGTCTAGTTTGTAGGTGAAGGTATTTCCTTTTCCATCTTAGACCTCAAATCACCAAAAATATCCACCTGTACATACTACAAAAAGACTGTTTCAAAACGTCTCTCTCAAAAGGAAGGTTCAACTCTGTGAGTTGAATACACACATCACACAGCAGTTTCTGAGCATGCTTCTGTCTAGTTTGTATGTGAAGATAGTTCCTTTTCCCTCATAGGCCTCAAATCGTTCCAAATATCGACTTGCAGATACTACAAAAAGACTGTTTGAAAACCGTTCTCTCAGAAGGAAGGTTCAACTCCGTGTGTTGAATGCACACATCACAAAGCAGTTTCTGAGAATGCTTCTGTCTAGCTTGTACGTGAAGATAGTTCCTTTTCCCTCATAGGTCCCAAATCGTTCCAAATATCGACTTGCAGATACCACAAAAAGACTGCTTCAAAACTGTTCTCAGAAGGAAGGTTCAACTCCGTGTGTTGAATGCACACATCAAAAAGCAGTTTCTGAGAATGCTTCTGTCTAGTTTGTATGTGAAGATATAACATTGACAGTGAATTCGTCAAAGAGCTTCAAATATCCAAAAGCAGATTCTAGAAAAGCAGTGTTTCAAAACTGCTCAATCAAAAGAAAGGTTCAACTCTGTGAACTGAACACATATATCACAAAGGAGTTTCGGAGAACGCTTCTTTCTAGTCTTTATGTGAAGATATTTCTTTTTCCACCATAGGCATCAAAGCGCTCCAAATGAACTCTTGCAGATTCTGCATATGTGTGTTTCAACACTGCTCCGTCTAAAGAAATGTTCAAGTCTCTGAGTTGAATGCACCCATCACAAAGCAGTTTCTGAGAATGCTTCTTTCTAGTTTGCATGTGAAGATATTCCCGTTTCCATCTTAAGCCTCACATCGCTCCATATATCCACTTGAGGATACTACAAAAAACTGTTTCAAAACTGCTCTCTCAAAAGGAAGGTTCAACTCTGTGAGCTGAATGCACACATCGCAAAGCAGTTAATGAGATTGCTTCTGTCTAGTTTGTATGTGAGGATATTTCCTTTTCAAACTTAGACTTCCCATCGCTCCAAATATCCACTTGCAGATATTTCAAAGAGACTGTTTAAAAACTGCTCTCTCAGAAGGAAGGTTCAACTCTGTGAGTTGAATGCACACACCACAAAGCAGTTTCTGAGAATGCTGCTGTCTAGTTTGTATGCGAAGATATCCCGTTTACAACGAATTCCTCAAAGAGCTCCAAATATCCACAAGCAGATTCTACAGAAGCAGTGTATCAAAACTGCTCTATCAAAAGAAAGGTTCAACTCTCTGAATAGAACAAACACATCAAAAAGGAGTTTCTGAGAATGCTTCTGTCTAGTATTTATGTGAAGATATTTCTTTTTCCCCATAGGCAAAAAAGAGCTCCAAGTGAACACTTGCACATGCTACAAAATGTGTGTTTCAACACTGCTCTTTCAAAAGAAAGGTTGAAGTCTGTGATTGGAATGCACACATCACAAAGCAGTTTCTGAGAATGCTTCTGTCTACTTTGTATGTGAAGATATCCCGTTTACAACAAATTCCTCAAAGAGCCCCCAATAGCAACAAGCAGATTCTACAAAAGCAGTGTTTCAAAACTGCTCTATCAAAAGGAACTTTTAACTCTGCGAATTGAACACACACATCACAAAGCAGTCTCGGAGAATGCTTCTGTCTGGTTTTTAGGTGAAGATATTCCTTTTTCCACCATAGGCAACAGAACACTCCAAACGGACACATGAAGATTCTACAGAAAGTGTGTTCCAACACTGCTCTATAAAAAGAAAGTTTCAAGTCTGGGAGTCCAATGTACATATCACAAAGAACTTTCTGAGAATGCTTGGGTCTACTTTTTATGTGAAGATAGCCGTTTCCAAAGAATTCTTCAAAGAGTTCCAGATATCCACAGGCAGATTCTACAAAAGAAGTGTTTCAATACTGCTCTATCAAAAGACGTATTCAACTCAGTTACTTTAATGCACACATCTCAATGAAGTTCCTGAGAAAGCTTCTGTCTAGTTTTTATGTGAAAATATTTCCTTTTCCATCATGGGCCTCAAAGCGCTCAAAATGAACACTTGCAGATACTAGAGAAAGACTGTTTCAAAACTGCTCTATCCAAAGAAAGGTTCCACTCTGTGAGGTGAATGCACACATCACAAAGCAGTTTCTCAGAACGCTTCTGTCTAGTTTGTATGTGAACATATTTCCTTTTCCATCATAGGCCTCAAATCGCTCCAAATATCCACTTGCAGATACTACAAAAAGACTGTTTCAAAACTGCTTTCTCAAAAGAAAGTTTCAACTCTGTGAGTTGAATGCACACATCACAAAGCAGTTTCTGAGAATGCTTCTGTGTAACTTGTATGTGAAGATCTCCCGTATACGCCCAATTCCTCAAAGACCGCCAAATATCCGCAAGCAGATTCTACAAAAGCAGTGTTTCAAATCTGCTCTATCAAAAGAAAGGCTCAACTTTGTGAATTGGACACAAACATCTCAAAGGAGTTTCTGAGAAGGCTTCTTTCTAGTTTCTAGGTGAACATATTCCTTTTTCCACCACAGGCAACAAAGCTCTCCAAATGAACACTTGCAGATTCTATAAAAAGTGTGTTTCAACACTGCTCTATCAAAATAAAGTTTCAAGTCTGTAAGTTTAATGCACACATCACAAAGCAGTTTCTGAGAATGCTTCTGTCTAGTTTGTAGGTGAAGGTATTTCCTTTTCCATATTAGACCTCAAATCACTAAAAATATCCACTTGTATATACTACAAAAAGACTGTTTCAAAACCTCTCTCTCAAAAGGAAGGCTCAACTCTGTGAGTTGAATGCACACATCACAAAGCAGTTTCTGAGTATGCTTCTGTCTAGCTTGTATGTGAAGATAGTTCCTTTTCCCTCATAGGTCCCAAATCGTTCCAAATATCGACTTGCAGATACCACAAAAAGACTGCTTCAAAACTGTTCTCAGAAGGAAGGTTCAACTCCGTGTGTTGAATGCACACATCAAAAAGCAGTTTCTCAGAATGCTTCTGTCTAGTTTGTATGTGAAGATATAACATTGACAGCGAATTCGTCAAAGAGCTTCAAATATCCAAAAGCAGATTCTAGAAAAGCAGTGTTTCAAAACTGCTCAATCAAAAGAAAGGTTCAACTCTGTGAACTGAACACATATATCACAAAGGAGTTTCGGAGAACGCTTCTTTCTAGTCTTTATGTGAAGATATTTCTTTTTCCACCATAGGCATCAAAGCGCTCCAAATGAACTCTTGCAGATTCTGCATATGTGTGTTTCAACACTGCTCCGTCTAAAGAAATGTTCAAGTCTCTGAGTTGAATGCACCCATCACAAAGCAGTTTCTGAGAATGCTTCTTTCTAGTTTGCATGTGAAGATATTCCCGTTTCCATCTTAAGCCTCACATCGCTCCATATATCCACTTGAGGATACTACAAAAAACTGTTTCAAAACTGCTCTCTCAAAAGGAAGGTTCAACTCTGTGAGCTGAATGCACACATCGCAAAGCAGTTAATGAGATTGCTTCTGTCTAGTTTGTATGTGAGGATATTTCCTTTTCAAACTTAGACTTCCCATCGCTCCAAATATCCACTTGCAGATATTTCAAAGAGACTGTTTAAAAACTGCTCTCTCAGAAGGAAGGTTCAACTCTGTGAGTTGAATGCCCACACCACAAAGCAGTTTCTGAGAATGCTGCTGTCTAGTTTGTATGTGAAGATATCCCGTTTACAACGAATTCCTCAAAGAGCTCCAAATATCCACAAGCAGATTCTACAAAAGGAGTGTTTCAATTCTGCTCTATCAAAATAAAGGTTCAACACTCTGAATAGAACAAACACATCACAAAGGAGTTTCTGAGAATGCTTCTGTCTAGTATTTATGTGAAGATATTTCTTTTTCCACCATAGGCAAAAAAGAGCTCCAAGTGAACACTTGCACATGCTACAAAATGTGTGTTTCAACACTGCTCTTTCAAAAGAAAGGTTGAAGTCTGTGATTGGAATGCACACATCACAAAGCAGTTTCTGAGAATGCTTCTGTCTACTTTGTATGTGAAGATATCCCGTTTACAACAAATTCCTCAAAGAGCCCCCAATAGCAACAAGCAGATTCTACAAAAGCAGTGTTTCAAAACTGCTCTATCAAAAGGAACTTTTAACTCTGCGAATTGAACACACACATCACAAAGCAGTCTCGGAGAATGCTTCTGTCTGGTTTTTAGGTGAAGATATTCCTTTTTCCACCATAGGCAACAGAGCACTCCAAACGAACACATGAAGATTCTACAAAAAGTGTGTTCCAACACTGCTCTATCAAAAGAAAGTTTCAAGTCTGGGAGTCCAATGTACATGTCACAAAGAACGTTCTGTGAATGCTTGGGTCTACTTTTTATGTGAAGATAGCCGTTTCCAAAGAATTCTTCAAAGAGTTCCAGATATCCACAGGCAGATTCTACAAAAGAAGTGTTTCAATACTGCTCTATCAAAAGACGTATTCCACTCAGTTACTTTAATGCACACATCTCAATGAAGTTCCTGAGAAAGCTTCTGTCTAGTTTTTATGTGAAAATATTTCCTTTTCCATCATGGGCCTCAAAGCGCTCAAAATGAACACTTGCAGATACTAGAGAAAGACTGTTTCAAAACTGCTCTATCCAAAGAAAGGTTCCACTCTGTGAGGTGAATGCACACATCACAAAGCAGTTTCTCAGAACGCTTCTGTCTAGTTTGTATGTGAACATATTTCCTTTTCCATCATAGGCCTCAAATCGCTCCAAATATCCACTTGCAGATACTACAAAAAGACTGTTTCAAAACTGCTTTCTCAAAAGAAAGTTTCAACTCTGTGAGTTGAATGCACACATCACAAAGCAGTTTCTGAGAATGCTTCTGTGTAACTTGTATGTGAAGATCTCCCGTATACGCCCAATTCCTAAAAGACCGCCAAATATCCGCAAGCAGATTCTACAAAAGCAGTGTTTCAAATCTGCTCTATCAAAAGAAAGGTTCAACTTTGTGAATTGGACACAAACATCTCAAAGGAGTTTCTGAGAAGGCTTCTTTCTAGTTTCTAGGTGAACATATTCCTTTTTCCACCACAGGCAACAAAGCTCTCCAAATGAACACTTGCAGATTCTATAAAAAGTGTGTTTCAACACTGCTCTATCAAAATAAAGTTTCAAGTCTGTAAGTTTAATGCACACATCACAAAGCAGTTTCTGAGAATGCTTCTGTCTAGTTTGTAGGTGAAGGTATTTCCTTTTCCATCTTAGACCTCAAATCACTAAAAATATCCACTTGCAGATACTACAAAAAGACTGTTTCAAAACCTCTCTCTCAAAAGGAAGGTGCAACTCTGTGAGTTGAATGCACACATCATAAAGCAGTTTCTGAGAATGCTACTTTCTAGTATTTATGTGAAGATATTTCTTTATCCACCATAGGCACAACAGCGTTCCAAATGAACACTTGCAGATCGTACAAAATGTGTGTTTCAACACTGCTCTTGCAAAACAAGGGTTCAAGTCTGTGAGTTGAATGCAGACATCACCAAGCAGCTTCTGAGAGTGCTTCTGTCTAGATTGTATGTGAAGATATTTCCTATTCCATCTTAGGCCTCAAATCACTACAAACATCCAATTGAAGATACTTCAAAAAGATTGTTTCAAAACGGCTCTCTCAAAAGGAAGGTTCAACTCTGTGAGTTCAATTCACACATCACAAAGAAGTTTCTGAGAATGCTTCTGACTAGTGTGTATGTGAAGATATCCCTTTTACAAAGAATTCCTCCAAGAGCTACAAATATCCACAAGCAGATTCTACAAAACAGGTGGTTCAAAACTGCTCAATCAAAAGAAAGAGTCAACCCTGTGAATTGAACACACACATCACAAAGCAGTTTCTGAGAATGCTTCTGTCTAGTTTGTAAGTGAACATATTTCCTTTTCCATCATAGGCCTCAAATCGCTCCAAATATCCACTTGCAGATACTACAAAAAGACTGTTTCAGAACAGCTTTCTCAAAAGAAAGTTTCAACTCTGTGAGAGGAATGCACACATCACAGAGCAGTTTCTGAGAATGCTTCTGTGTAATTTGTATGTGAAGATATCCCGTATACGCCCAATTCCTCAAAGACCTCCAAAAAAAATGCAAGCAGATTCTACAAAAGCAGTGTTTCAAATCTGCTTTATCAAAAGAAAGGTTCAACTTTGTGAATTGGACACAAACATCGAAAAGGAGTTTCTGAGAATGCTTCTTTCTAGTTTGTATGTGAACACATTTCTTTTTCCACCACAGGCAACAAAGCTCTCCAAATGAACACTTGCAGATTCTATAAAAAGTGTGTTTCAACACTGCTCTATCAAAATAAGGTTTCAAGTCTGTAAGTTTAATGCACACATCACAAAGCAGTTTCTGAGAATGCTTCTGTCTAGTTTGTAGGTGAAGGTATTTCCTTTTCCATCTTAGACCTCAAATCACCAAAAATATCCACCTGTACATACTACAAAAAGACTGTTTCAAAACGTCTCTCTCAAAAGGAAGGTTCAACTCTGTGAGTTGAATGCACACATCACACAGCAGTTTCTGAGCATGCTTCTGTCTAGTTTGTATGTGAAGATAGTTCCTTTTCCCTCATAGGCCTCAAATCGTTCCAAATATCGACTTGCAGATACTACAAAAAGACTGTTTGAAAACCGTTCTCTCAGAAGGAAGGTTCAACTCCGTGTGTTGAATGCACACATCACAAAGCAGTTTCTGAGAATGCTTCTGTCTAGCTTGTATGTGAAGATAGTTCCTTTTCCCTCATAGGTCCCAAATCGTTCCAAATATCGACTTGCAGATACCACAAAAAGACTGCTTCAAAACTGTTCTCAGAAGGAAGGTTCAACTCCGTGTGTTGAATGCACACATCAAAAAGCAGTTTCTGAGAATGCTTCTGTCTAGTTTGTATGTGAAGATATAACATTGACAGTGAATTCGTCAAAGAGCTTCAAATATCCAAAAGCAGATTCTAGAAAAGCAGTGTTTCAAAACTGCTCAATCAAAAGAAAGGTTCAACTCCTGTGAACTGAACACATATATCACAAAGGAGTTTCGGAGAACGCTTCCTTTCTAGTCTTTATGTGAAGATATTTCTTTTTCCACCATAGGCATCAAAGCGCTCCAAATGAACTCTTGCAGATTCTGCATATGTGTGTTTCAACACTGCTCCGTCTAAAGAAATGTTCAAGTCTCTGAGTTGAATGCACCCATCACAAAGCAGTTTCTGAGAATGCTTCTTTCTAGTTTGCATGTGAAGATATTCCCGTTTCCATCTTAAGCCTCACATCGCTCCATATATCCACTTGAGGATACTACAAAAAACTGTTTCAAAACTGCTCTCTCAAAAGGAAGGTTCAACTCTGTGAGCTGAATGCACACATCGCAAAGCAGTTAATGAGATTGCTTCTGTCTAGTTTGTATGTGAGGATATTTCCTTTTCAAACTTAGACTTCCCATCGCTCCAAATATCCACTTGCAGATATTTCAAAGAGACTGTTTAAAAACTGCTCTCTCAGAAGGAAGGTTCAACTCTGTGAGTTGAATGCACACACCACAAAGCAGTTTCTGAGAATGCTTCTGTCTAGTTTGTATGTGAAGATATCCCGTTTACAACGAATTCCTCAAAGTAGCTCCAAATATCCACAAGCAGATTCTACAGAAGCAGTGTATCAAAACTGCTCTATCAAAAGAAAGGTTCAACTCTCTGAATAGAACAAACACATCACTAAGGCGTTTCTGAGAATGCTTCTGTCTAGTATTTATGTGAAGATATTTCTTTTTCCACCATAGGCAAAAAAGCGCTCCAAGTGAACACTTGCACATCCTAGAAAATGTATGTTTCAACACTGCTCTTTCAAAACAAAGGTTCAAATCTGTGAGTTGAATGCACACATCACTAAGCAGTTTCTGAGAATGCTTCTGTCTAGTTTGTATGTGAAGATATCCCGTTTACAACGAAATCCTCAAAGACCTCCAAATATCCGCAAGGAGATTCTACAAAAGCAGTGTTTCAAATCTGCTCTATCAAAAGAAAGGTTCAACTTTGTGAATTGGACACAAACATCACAAAGGAGTTTCTGAGAATGCTTCTTTCTAGTTTGTATGTGAACATATTCTTTTTCCACCACAGGCAAAAAAGCTCTCCAAATGAACACTTGCAGATTCTATAAAAAGTGTGTTTCAACACTGCTCTATCAAAATAAAGTTTCAACTCTGTAAGTTTAATGCACACATCACAAAGCAGTTTCTGAGAATGCTTCTGTCTAGTTTGTAGGTGAAGGTATTTCCTTTTCCATCATAGAACTCAAATCACTAAAAATATCCACTTGCAGATACTACAAAAAGACTGTTTCAAAACCTCTCTCTCAAAAGGAAGGTTCAACTCTGTGAGTTGAATGCACACATCACAAAGCAGTTTCTGAGAATGCTTCTGTCTAGTATTTATGTGAAGATATTTCTTTATCCACCATAGGCACAAAAGCGCTCCAAATGAACACTTGCAGATCGTACAAAATGTGTGTTTCAATACTGCTCTTTCAAAACAAGGGTTCAAGTCTGTGAGTTGAATGCAGACATCACCAAGCAGCTTCTGAGAGTGCTTCTGTCTAGATTGTATGTGAAGATATTTCCTTTTCCATCTTAGCCCTCAAATCACCACAAGCATCCAATTGAAGATACTTCAAAAAGATTGTTTCAAAACGGCTCTCTCAAAAGGAAGGTTCAACTCTGTGAGTTCAATTCACACTTCACAAAAAAGTTTCTGAGAATGCTTCTGACTAGGGTGTATGTGAAGATATCCCTTTTACAAAGAATTCCTCCAAGAGCTACAAATATCCACAAGCAGATTCTACAAAACAGGTGGTTGAAAACTGCTCAATCAAAAGAAAGTGTCGACCCTGTGAATTGAACACACACATCACAAAGCAGTCTCTGAGAATGCTTCTTTCTAGTTTGCATGTGAAGATATTCCCGTTTCCATCTTAAGCCTCACATCGCTCCATATATCCACTTGAGGATACTACAAAAAACTGTTTCAAAACTGCTCTCTCAAAAGGAAGGTTCAACTCTGTGAGCTGAATGCACACATCGCAAAGCAGTTAATGAGATTGCTTCTGTCTAGTTTGTATGTGAGGATATTTCCTTTTCAAACTTAGACTTCCCATCGCTCCAAATATCCACTTGCAGATATTTCAAAGAGACTGTTTCAAAACTGCTCTCTCAAAAGGAAGGTTCAACTCTGTGAGTTGAATGCCCACACCACAAAGCAGTTAATGAGATTGCTTCTGTCTAGTTTGTATGTGAGGATATTTCCTTTTCAAACTTAGACTTCCCATCGCTCCAAATATCCACTTGCAGATATTTCAAAGAGACTGTTTAAAAACTGCTCTCTCAGAAGGAAGGTTCAACTCTGTGAGTTGAATGCCCACACCACAAAGCAGTTTCTGAGAATGCTTCTGTCTAGTTTGTATGTGAAGATATCCCGTTTACAACGAATTCCTCAAAGAGCTCCAAATATCCACAAGCAGATTCTACAGAAGCAGTGTATCAAAACTGCTCTATCAAAAGAAAGGTTCAACTCTCTGAATAGAACAAACACATCACTAAGGCGTTTCTGAGAATGCTTCTGTCTAGTATTTATGTGAAGATATTTCTTTTTCCACCATAGGCAAAAAAGCGCTCCAAGTGAACACTTGCACATCCTACAAAATGTGTGTTTGAACACTGCTCTTTCAAAAGAAAGGTTGAAGTCTGTGATTGGAATGCACACATCACAAAGCAGTTTCTGAGAATGCTTCTGTCTACTTTGTATGTGAAGATATCCCGTTTACAACAAATTCCTCAAAGAGCTCCAGATATCCACAAGCAGATCCTATAAAAGCGGTGTTTCAAAGCTGCGCTATCAAAGGAATATTTCAATTCTGTGAATTTGACACACACTTCACAAAGGAGTTTCTGAGAATGTTTCTGTCTAGTTTTCATTTGAAGATATTTCTTTTTCCACCATAGGCAACAAAGCGCACTAAATGAACACTTGCAGATTCTACAAAAAGCGTGTTCCAACACTGATCTCTCAAAAGAAAGTTTGAAGTCTGTGAGTTTAAGGCACACATCTCAAGGAACTTTTTGAGAATCCTTGGGTCTCCTTTTTTTGTGAAGATACCAGTTGCCAACGAACTCCTGAAAGAGTTCCAAATATCCACAAGCAGATTCTACAAAAGGAGTGTTTCAATTCTGCTCTATCAAAAGGCAGATTCAACTCAGTTACTTGAATGCACACATCTCAGTGAAGTTCCTGAGCATGCCTCTGTCTAGTTTTTTTGTGAAGATATTTCCTTTTCCGCCAAAGGCTTAAAAGCGCTCCAAAATGAACACTCGCAGATCCTACAAAAAGACTGTTTCAGAACTGCTCTATCAAAAGGACGGTTCCACTCTGTGAGGTAAATGCACACATCACAAAGCAGATTCTGAGAAAGCTTCTGTCAAGTTTGGCCGTGAAGATATTTCCTTTTCAATCTTAGTCCTCCCATTGCTCCAAGTATCCACTTGTAGAGAATACAAAAAGATTGTTTCAAAACTGCTCTCTCAAAAGGAAGGTTCAACTCTGTGAGTAGAATGCACACATCACAAACCAGTTTCTGAGAATGCTTCTGACTAGTTTGAATGTGAAGATATCCCGTTTAAAACGAATTCCTCAAACAGCTCCAAATATCCACAAGAAGATTCTACAAAAGCAGTGTTTCAAAACTGCTTTATCTAAAGAAAGGTTCAACCCTGTGAATTGAACAACCACATCACAAAGTATTTTCTGAGAATGTTTTCTGTCTAGTTTTTACGTGAAGATATTTCTTTTTCCACCATGGGCAAGAAAGCACTCCAAATGAACACTTGCAGATTCTACAAAAAGTGTGTTTCAACCCTGCTCTATCAAAAGAAAGTTTCAAGCCTGTGAGTCGAATCCTCACATCACAAAGCAGTTTCTGAGAATGCTTCTGCCTAGTTTTTAGGTGAAGATATATCCTTTTCCATCTTAGGCCTCAAATCTCTCCAAACATCCACTTGCAGATACTTCAAAAAGACTGTTTCAAAACTGCTCTCAAAAGGAAGGTTCAACTCTGTGAGTTGAATGCACACATCACAACGCAGTGTCTGAGAATGCTTCTGTCTAGTTTGTATGTGAAGATATTTCCTTTTCCATCTTAGGCCTCAAATCGATCCAAATATCCAATTGCAGATACCACAAAAAGACTGCTTCAAAACAGCTCTCGCAAAAGGAAGGTTCAACTCTGTGAGTTGAATGCACACATCACAGAGCAGTTTCTGAGAATGCTTCTGTCTACTTTGTATGTGAAGATATCCCGTTTACAACAAATTCCTCAAAGAGCCCCCAATAGCAACAAGCAGATTCTACAAAAGCAGTGTTTCAAAACTGCTCTATCCAAAGCAACTTTCAACTCTGCGAATTGAACACACACATCACAAAGCAGTCTCTGAGAATGCTTCTGTCTGGTTTTTAGGTGAAGATATTCCTTTTTCCAGCAGAGGCAACAGAGCACTCCAAACGAACACATGAAGATTCTACAAAAAGTGTGTTCCAACACTGCTCTATCAAAAGAAAGGTTCAAGTCTGGGAGTCCAATGTACATATCACAAAGAACTTTCTGAGAATGCTTGGGTCTACTTTTTATGTGAAGATAGCCGTTTCCAAAGAATTCTTCAAAGAGTTCCAGATATCCACAGGCAGATTCTACAAAAGAAGTGTTTCAATACTGCTCTATCAAAAGACGTATTCCACTCAGTTACTTTAATGCACACATCTCAATGAAGTTCCTGAGAAAGCTTCTGTCTAGTTTTTATGTGAAAATATTTCCTTTTCCATCATGGGCCTCAAAGCGCTCAAAATGAACACTTGCAGATACTAGAGAAAGACTGTTTCAAAACTGCTCTATCCAAAGAACGGTTCCACTCTGTGAGGTGAATGCACACATCACAAAGCCGTTTCTGAGAACGCTTCTGTCTAGTTTGTATGTGAACATATTTCCTTTTCCATCATAGGCCTCAAATCGCTCCAAATATGCACTTGCAGATACTACAGAAAGACTGTTTCAGAACTGCTTTCTCAAAAGAAAGTTTCAACTCTGTGAGTTGAATGCACACATCACAAAGCAGTTTCTGAGAATGCTTCTGTGTAACTTGTATGTAAAGATCTCCCGTATACGCCTAATTCCTCAAAGACCTCCAAATATCCGCAAGCAGATTCTACAAAAGCAGTGTTTCAAATATGCTCTATCAAAAGAAAGGTTCAACTTTGTGAATTGGACACAAACATCTCAAAGGAGTTTCTGAGAATTCTTGTTTCTAGTTTGTATGTGAACACGTTTCTTTTTCCACCTCAGGCAACAAAGCTCTCCAAATGAACACTTGCAGATTCTATGAAAAGTGTGTTTCAACACTGCTCTATCAAAATATGGTTTCAAGTCTGTAAGTTTAATACACACATCACAAAGCAGTTTCTGAGAATGCTTCTGTCTAGTTTGTAGGTGAAGGTATTTCCTTTTCCATCTTAGACCTCAAATCACTAAAACTATCCACTTGTATATACTATAAAAATATTGTTTCAAAACCTCTCTCTCAAAAGGAAGGTTCAACTCTGTGAGTTGAATGCACACATCACAAAGCAGTTTCTGAGCATGCTTCTGTCTAGTTTGTATGTGAAGATAGTTCCTTTTCCCTCATAGGCCTCAAATCGTTCCAAATATCGACTTGCAGATACTACAAAAAGACTGTTTGAAAACCGTTCTCTCAGAAGGAAGGTTCAACTCCGTGTGTTGAATGCACACATCACAAAGCAGTTTCTGAGAATGCTTCTGTCTAGGTTGTAGGTGAAGGTATTTCCTTTTCCATCTTAGACCTCAAATCCCTAAAAATATCCACTTGTATATACTACAAAAAGACTGTTTCAAAACCTCTCTCTCAAAAGGAAGGTTCAACTCTGTGAGTTGAATGCACACATCACAAAGCAGTTTCTGAGCATGCTTCTGTCTAGTTTGTATGTGAATATAGTTCCTTTTCCCTCATAGACCTCAAATCGTTCCAAATATCGACTTGCAGATACTACAAAAAGACTGTTTGAAAACTGTTCTCTCAGAAGGAAGGTTCAACTCCGTGTGTTGAATGCACACATCACAAAGCAGTTTTTGAGAATGCTTCTGACTAGTTTGAATGTGAAGGTATCCTCTTTAAAACGAATTCCTCAAACAGCTTCAAATATCCACAAGAAGATTCTACAAAAGCAGTGTTTCCAAACTGCTTTATCTAAAGAAAGGTTCAACCCTGTGAATTGAACAACTACATCACAAAGTATTTTCTGAGAATGTTTCTGCCTAGTTCTTACGTGAAGATATTTCTTTTTCGACCATGGACAAGAAAGCACTCCAAATGAACACTTGGAGATTCTACAAAAAGTGTGTTTCAACACTGCTCTATCAAAGGAAAGTCTCAAGTCTGTGAGTTGAATCCCCACATCACAAAGCAGTTTCTGAGAATTCTTCTGCCTAGTTTTTACGTGAAGATATATCCTTTTCCCTCTTAGGCCTCAAATCTCTCCAAACATCCATTTGCAGATACTTCAAAAAGACTGTTTCAAAACTGCTCTCAAAAGGAAGGTTCAACTCTGTGAGTTGAATGTACACATCACAACGCAGTGTCTGAGAATGCTTCTGTCTAGTTTGTATGTGAAGATATTTCCTTTTCCATCTTAGGCCTCAAATCGATCCAAATATTCAATTGCAGATACCACAAAAAGACTGCTTCAAAACAGCTCTCGCAAAAGGAAGGTTCAACTCTGTGATTCCAATGCACACATCACAGAGCAGTTTTTGAGAATGCTTCTGTCTACTTTGTATGTGAAGATATCCCGTTTACAACAAATTCCTCAAAGAGCCCCCAATAGCAACAAGCAGATTCTACAAAAGCAGTGTTTCAAAACTGCTCTATCAAAATCAACTTTCAACTCTGCGAATTGAACACACACATCACAAAGCAGTCTCTGAGAATGCTTCTGTCTGGTTTGTAGGTGAAGATATTCCTTTTTCCACCATAGGCAACAGAGCACTCCAAAAGAAAACATGAAGATTCTACAAAAAGTGTGTTCCAACACTGCTCTATCAAAAGAAAGGTTCAAGTCTGGAGTCCAATGTACATATCACAAAGAACTTTCTGAGAATGCTTGGGTCTAGTTTTTATGTGAAGATAGCCGTTTCCAAAGAATTCTTCAAAGAGTTCCAGATATCCACAGGCAGATTATACAAAAGAAGTGTTTCAATACTGCTCTATCAAAAGACGTATTCAAATCAGTTACCTTAATGCACACATCTCAATGAAATTCCTGAGAAAGCTTCTGTCTAGGTTTATGTGAAAATATTAACTTTTCCATCATGGGCCTCAAAGCGCTCAAAATGAACACTTGCAGATACTAGAGAAAGACTGTTTCAAAACTGCTCTATCCAAAGAACGGTTCCACTCTGTGAGGTGAATGCACACATCACAAAGCAGTTTCTGAGAACGCTTGTGTCTAGTTTGTATGTGAACATATTTCCTTTTCCATCATAGGCCTCAAATCGCTCCAAATATCCACTTGCAGATACTACAAGAAGACTGTTTCAAAACTGCATTCTCAAAAGAAAGTTTCAACTCTGTGAGTTGAATGCACACATCACCAAGCAGTTTCTGAGAATGCTTCTGTCTAGTTTGTAGGTGAAGGTATTTCCTTTTCCATCTTACACCTCAAATCACTAAAAATATCCACTTGCAGATACTACAAAAAGACTGTTTCAAAATCTCTCTCTCAAAAGGAAGGTTCAACTCTGTGAGTTGAATGCACACATCACAAAGCAGTTTCTGAGAATGCTTCTGTCTAGTATTTATGTGAAGATATTGCTTTTTCCACCATAGGCACAAAAGCTCTCCAAATGAACACTTGCAGATCCTACAAAATGTGTGTTTCAACACTGCTCTTTCAAAACAAGGGTTAAAGTCTGTGAGTTGAATGCAGACATCACCAAGCAGCTTCTGAGAGTGCTTCTGTCTAGATTGTATGTGAAGATATTTCCTTTTCCATCTTAGGCCTCAAATCACTACAAGTATCCAATTGAAGATACTTCAAAAAGATTGTTTCAAAACGGCTCTCTCAGAAGGAAGGATCAACTCTGTGAGTTCAATTCACAATCACAAAGAAGTTTCTGAGAATGCTTCTGACTTGTGTGTATGTGAAGATATCCCTTTTACAATGAATTCTTCCAAGAGCTACAAATATCCACAAGCAGATTCTACAAAACAGGTTGTTCAAAACTGCTCAATCAAAAGAAAGAGTCAACCCTGTGAATTGAACACACACATCACAAAGCAGTTTCTGAGCATGCTTCTGTCTAGTTTGTATGTGAAGATAGTTCCTTTTCCCTCATAGGCCTCATAGCGTTCCAAATAGCGACTTGCAGATACTACAAAAAGACTGTTTGAAAACTGTTCTCTCAGAAGGAAGGTTCAACTCCGTGTGTTGAATGCACACATCACAAAGCAGTTTCTGAGAATGCTTCTGGCTAGTTTGTATATGAAGATATCCCATTGACAATGAATTCCTCAAAGAGCTCCAAATATCCACAAGCAGATTCTAGAAAAGCAGTTTTTCAAAACTGCTCAATGAAAAGAAAGGTTCAACTCTGTGAATTGAACACACATATCACAAAGGAGTTTCGGAGAACGCTTCTTTGTAGTGCTTATGTGAAGATATTTCTTTTTCCACCATAGGCATCAAAGCGCTCCAAATGAACTCTTGCAGATTCTACAAATGTGTGTTTCAAACTGCTCCGTCTAAAGAAATGTTCAAGTCTCTGAGTTGAATGCACCCATCACAAAGCAGTTTCTGAGAATGCTTCTATCTAGTTTGTATGTGAAGATATTCCCGTTTCCATCTTAAGCCTCACATCGCTCCATATATCCACTTGAGGATACTACAAAAAACTGTTTCAAAACTGCTCTCTCAAAAGGAAGGTTCAACTCTGTGAGCTGAATGCACACATCACAAAGCAGTTAATGAGATTGCTTCTGTCTAGTTTGTATGTGAGGATATTTCCTTTTCAATCTTAGACTTCCCATCGCTCCAAATATCCACTTGCAGTTATTTCAAAGAGACTGTTTAAAAACTGCTCTCTCAGAAGGAAGGTTCACCTATGTGAGTTGAATGCACACACCACAAGGCAGTTTCTGAGAATGCTGCTGTCTAGTTTGTATGTGAAGATATCCCGTTTACAACGAATTCCTCAAAGAGCTCCAAATATCCACAAGCAGATTCTACAAAAGGAGTGTTTCAATTCTGCTCTATCAAAATAAAGGTTCAACACTCTGAATAGAACAAACACATCACAAAGGAGTTTCTGAGAATGCTTCTGTCTAGTATTTATGTGAAGATATTTCTTTTTCCACCATAGGCAAAAAAGAGCTCCAAGTGAACACTTGCACATGCTACAAAATGTGTGTTTCAACACTGCTCTTTCAAAAGAAAGGTTGAAGTCTGTGATTGGAATGCACACATCACAAAGCAGTTTCTGAGAATGCTTCTGTCTACTTTGTATGTGAAGATATCCCGTTTACAACAAATTCCTCAAAGAGCCCCCAATAGCAACAAGCAGATTCTACAAAAGCAGTGTTTCAAAACTGCTCTATCAAAAGGAACTTTTAACTCTGCGAATTGAACACACACATCACAAAGCAGTCTCGGAGAATGCTTCTGTCTGGTTTTTAGGTGAAGATATTCCTTTTTCCACCATAGGCAACAGAGCACTCCAAACGAACACATGAAGATTCTACAAAAAGTGTGTTCCAACACTGCTCTATCAAAAGAAAGTTTCAAGTCTGGGAGTCCAATGTACATGTCACAAAGAACGTTCTGTGAATGCTTGGGTCTACTTTTTATGTGAAGATAGCCGTTTCCAAAGAATTCTTCAAAGAGTTCCAGATATCCACAGGCAGATTCTACAAAAGAAGTGTTTCAATACTGCTCTATCAAAAGACGTATTCAACTCAGTTACTTTAATGCACACATCTCAATGAAGTTCCTGAGAAAGCTTCTGTCTAGTTTTTATGTGAAAATATTTCCTTTTCCATCATGGGCCTCAAAGCGCTCAAAATGAACACTTGCAGATACTAGAGAAAGACTGTTTCAAAACTGCTCTATCCAAAGAAAGGTTCCACTCTGTGAGGTGAATGCACACATCACAAAGCAGTTTCTCAGAACGCTTCTGTCTAGTTTGTATGTGAACATATTTCCTTTTCCATCATAGGCCTCAAATCGCTCCAAATATCCACTTGCAGATACTACAAAAAGACTGTTTCAAAACTGCTTTCTCAAAAGAAAGTTTCAACTCTGTGAGTTGAATGCACACATCACAAAGCAGTTTCTGAGAATGCTTCTGTGTAACTTGTATGTGAAGATCTCCCGTATACGCCCAATTCCTAAAAGACCGCCAAATATCCGCAAGCAGATTCTACAAAAGCAGTGTTTCAAATCTGCTCTATCAAAAGAAAGGTTCAACTTTGTGAATTGGACACAAACATCTCAAAGGAGTTTCTGAGAAGGCTTCTTTCTAGTTTCTAGGTGAACATATTCCTTTTTCCACCACAGGCAACAAAGCTCTCCAAATGAACACTTGCAGATTCTATAAAAAGTGTGTTTCAACACTGCTCTATCAAAATAAAGTTTCAAGTCTGTAAGTTTAATGCACACATCACAAAGCAGTTTCTGAGAATGCTTCTGTCTAGTTTGTAGGTGAAGGTATTTCCTTTTCCATCTTAGACCTCAAATCACTAAAAATATCCACTTGCAGATACTACAAAAAGACTGTTTCAAAACCTCTCTCTCAAAAGGAAGGTGCAACTCTGTGAGTTGAATGCACACATCACAAAGCAGTTTCTGAGAATGCTACTTTCTAGTATTTATGTGAAGATATTTCTTTATCCACCATAGGCACAACAGCGTTCCAAATGAACACTTGCAGATCGTACAAAATGTGTGTTTCAACACTGCTCTTTCAAAACAAGGGTTCAAGTCTGTGAGTTGAATGCAGACATCACCAAGCAGCTTCTGAGAGTGCTTCTGTCTAGATTGTATGTGAAGATATTTCCTATTCCATCTTAGGCCTCAAATCACTACAAACATCCAATTGAAGATACTTCAAAAAGATTGTTTCAAAACGGCTCTCTCAAAAGGAAGGTTCAACTCTGTGAGTTCAATTCACACATCACAAAGAAGTTTCTGAGAATGCTTCTGACTAGTGTGTATGTGAAGATATCCCTTTTACAAAGAATTCCTCCAAGAGCTACAAATATCCACAAGCAGATTCTACAAAACAGGTGGTTCAAAACTGCTCAATCAAAAGAAAGAGTCAACCCTGTGAATTGAACACACACATCACAAAGCAGTTTCTGAGAATGCTTCTGTCTAGTTTGTAAGTGAACATATTTCCTTTTCCATCATAGGCCTCAAATCGCTCCAAGTATCCACTTGCAGATACTACAAAAAGACTGTTTCAGAACTGCTTTCTCCAAAGAAAGTTTCAACTCTGTTAGTTGAATGCACACATCACAGAGCAGTTTCTGAGAATGCTTCTGTGTAATTTGTATGTGAAGATATCCCATATACGCCCAATTCCTCAAAGACCTCCAAATACACGCAAGCAGATTCTACAAAAGCAGTGTTTCAAATCTGCTCTATCAAAAGAAAGGTTCAACTTTGTGAATTAGACACAAACATCTCAAAGGAGTTTCTGAGAAGGCTTCTTTCTAGTTTGTATGTGAACACATTTCTTTTTCCACCACAGGCAACAAAGCTCTCCAAATGAACACTTGCAGATTCTATAAAAAGTGTGTTTCAACACTGCTCTATCAAAATAAGGTTTCAAGTCTGTAAGTTTAATGCACACATCACAAAGCAGTTTCTGAGAATGCTTCTGTCTAGTTTGTAGGTGAAGGTATTTCCTTTTCCATCTTAGACCTCAAATCACCAAAAATATCCACCTGTACATACTACAAAAAGACTGTTTCAAAACGTCTCTCTCAAAAGGAAGGTTCAACTCTGTGAGTTGAATGCACACATCACACAGCAGTTTCTGAGCGTGCTTCTGTCTAGTTTGTATGTGAAGATAGTTCCTTTTCCCTCATAGGCCTCAAATCGTTCCAAATATCGACTTGCAGATACTACAAAAAGACTGTTTGAAAACCGTTCTCTCAGAAGGAAGGTTCAACTCCGTGTGTTGAATGCACACATCACAAAGCAGTTTCTGAGAATGCTTCTGTCTAGCTTGTACGTGAAGATAGTTCCTTTTCCCTCATAGGTCCCAAATCGTTCCAAATATCGACTTGCAGATACCACAAAAAGACTGCTTCAAAACTGTTCTCAGAAGGAAGGTTCAACTCCGTGTGTTGAATGCACACATCAAAAAGCAGTTTCTGAGAATGCTTCTGTCTAGTTTGTATGTGAAGATATAACATTGACAGTGAATTCGTCAAAGAGCTTCAAATATCCAAAAGCAGATTCTAGAAAAGCAGTGTTTCAAAACTGCTCAATCAAAAGAAAGGTTCAACTCTGTGAACTGAACACATATATCACAAAGGAGTTTCGGAGAACGCTTCTTTCTAGTCTTTATGTGAAGATATTTCTTTTTCCACCATAGGCATCAAAGCGCTCCAAATGAACTCTTGCAGATTCTGCATATGTGTGTTTCAACACTGCTCCGTCTAAAGAAATGTTCAAGTCTCTGAGTTGAATGCACCCATCACAAAGCAGTTTCTGAGAATGCTTCTTTCTAGTTTGCATGTGAAGATATTCCCGTTTCCATCTTAAGCCTCACATCGCTCCATATATCCACTTGAGGATACTACAAAAAACTGTTTCAAAACTGCTCTCTCAAAAGGAAGGTTCAACTCTGTGAGCTGAATGCACACATCGCAAAGCAGTTAATGAGATTGCTTCTGTCTAGTTTGTATGTGAGGATATTTCCTTTTCAAACTTAGACTTCCCATCGCTCCAAATATCCACTTGCAGATATTTCAAAGAGACTGTTTAAAAACTGCTCTCTCAGAAGGAAGGTTCAACTCTGTGAGTTGAATGCACACACCACAAAGCAGTTTCTGAGAATGCTTCTGTCTAGTTTGTATGTGAAGATATCCCGTTTACAACGAATTCCTCAAAGAGCTCCAAATATCCACAAGCAGATTCTACAGAAGCAGTGTATCAAAACTGCTCTATCAAAAGAAAGGTTCAACTCTCTGAATAGAACAAACACATCACTAAGGCGTTTCTGAGAATGCTTCTGTCTAGTATTTATGTGAAGATATTTCTTTTTCCACCATAGGCAAAAAAGCGCTCCAAGTGAACACTTGCACATCCTACAAAATGTGTGTTTGAACACTGCTCTTTCAAAAGAAAGGTTGAAGTCTGTGATTGGAATGCACACATCACAAAGCAGTTTCTGAGAATGCTTCTGTCTACTTTGTATGTGAAGATATCCCGTTTACAACAAATTCCTCAAAGAGCTCCAGATATCCACAAGCAGATCCTATAAAAGCGGTGTTTCAAAGCTGCGCTATCAAAGGAATATTTCAATTCTGTGAATTTGACACACACTTCACAAAGGAGTTTCTGAGAATGTTTCTGTCTAGTTTTCATTTGAAGATATTTCTTTTTCCACCATAGGCAACAAAGCGCACTAAATGAACACTTGCAGATTCTACAAAAAGCGTGTTCCAACACTGATCTCTCAAAAGAAAGTTTGAAGTCTGTGAGTTTAAGGCACACATCTCAAGGAACTTTTTGAGAATCCTTGGGTCTCCATTTTTTGTGAAGATACCAGCTGCCAACGAATTCCTGAAAGAGTTCCAAATATCCACAAGCAGATTCTACAAAAGGAGTGTTTCAATTCTGCTCTATCAAAAGGCAGATTCAACTCAGTTACTTGAATGCACACATCTCAGTGACGTTCCAGAGCATGACTCTGTCTAGTTTTTTTGTGAAGATATTTCCTTTTCCGCCAAAGGCTTAAAAGCGCTCCAAAATGAACACTCGCAGATCCTACAAAAAGACTGTTTCAGAACTGCTCTATCAAAAGGACGGTTCCACTCTGTGAGGTAAATGCACACATCACAAAGCAGATTCTGAGAAAGCTTCTGTCAAGTTTGGCCGTGAAGATATTTCCTTTTCAATCTTAGTCCTCCCATTGCTCCAAGTATCCACTTGTAGAGAATACAAAAAGATTGTTTCAAAACTGCTCTCTCAAAAGGAAGGTTCAACTCTGTGAGTAGAATGCACACATCACAAACCAGTTTCTGAGAATGCTTCTGACTAGTTTGAATGTGAAGATATCCCGTTTAAAACGAATTCCTCAAACAGCTCCAAATATCCACAAGAAGATTCTACAAAAGCAGTGTTTCAAAACTGCTTTATCTAAAGAAAGGTTCAACCCTGTGAATTGAACAACCACATCACAAAGTATTTTCTGAGAATGTTTCTGTCTAGTTTTTACGTGAAGATATTTCTTTTTCCACCATGGGCAAGAAAGCACTCCAAATGAACACTTGCAGATTCTACAAAAAGTGTGTTTGAACCCTGCTGTATCAAAAGAAAGTTTCAAGCCTGTGAGTTGAATCCCCACATCACAAAGCAGTTTCTGAGAATGCTTCTGCCTAGTTTTTAGGTGAAGATATATCCTTTTCCATCTTAGGCCTCAAATCTCTCCAAACATCCACTTGCAGATACTTCAAAAAGACTGTTTCAAAACTGCTCTCAAAAGGAAGGTTCAACTCTGTGAGTTGAATGCACACATCACAACGCAGTGTCTGAGAATGCTTCTGTCTAGTTTGTATGTGGAGATATTTCCTTTTCCATCTTAGGCCTCAAATCGATCCAAATATCCAATTGCAGATACCACAAAAAGACTGCTTCAAAACAGCTCTCGCAAAAGGAAGGTTCAACTCTGTGAGTTGAATGCACACATCACAGAGCAGTTTCTGAGAATGCTTCTGTCTACTTTGTATGTGAAGATATCCCGTTTACAACAAATTCCTCATAGAGCCCCCAATATCAACAAGCAGATTCTACAAAAGCAGTGTTTCAAAACTGCTCTATCAAAAGGAACATTCAACTCAGCGAATTGAACACACACATCACAAAGCAGTCTCTGAGAATGCTTCTGTCTGGTTTTTAGGTGAAGATATTCCTTTTTCCACCATAGGCAACAGAGCACTCCAAACGAACACATGAAGATTCTACAAAAAGTGTGTTCCAACACTGCTCTATCAAAAGAAAGTTTCAAGTCTGGGAGTCCAATGTACATGTCACAAAGAACGTTCTGTGAATGCTTGGGTCTACTTTTTATGTGAAGATAGCCGTTTCCAAAGAATTCTTCAAAGAGTTCCAGATATCCACAGGCAGATTCTACAAAAGAAGTGTTTCAATACTGCTCTATCAAAAGACGTATTCAACTCAGTTACTTTAATGCACACATCTCAATGAAGTTCCTGAGAAAGCTTCTGTCTAGTTTTTATGTGAAAATATTTCCTTTTCCATCATGGGCCTCAAAGCGCTCAAAATGAACACTTGCAGATACTAGAGAAAGACTGTTTCAAAACTGCTCTATCCAAAGAAAGGTTCCACTCTGTGAGGTGAATGCACACATCACAAAGCAGTTTCTCAGAACGCTTCTGTCTAGTTTGTATGTGAACATATTTCCTTTTCCATCATAGGCCTCAAATCGCTCCAAATATCCACTTGCAGATACTACAAAAAGACTGTTTCAAAACTGCTTTCTCAAAAGAAAGTTTCAACTCTGTGAGTTGAATGCACACATCACAAAGCAGTTTCTGAGAATGCTTCTGTGTAACTTGTATGTGAAGATCTCCCGTATACGCCCAATTCCTAAAAGACCGCCAAATATCCGCAAGCAGATTCTACAAAAGCAGTGTTTCAAATCTGCTCTATCAAAAGAAAGGTTCAACTTTGTGAATTGGACACAAACATCTCAAAGGAGTTTCTGAGAAGGCTTCTTTCTAGTTTCTAGGTGAACATATTCTTTTTTCCACCACAGGCAACAAAGCTCTCCAAATGAACACTTGCAGATTCTATAAAAAGTGTGTTTCAACACTGCTCTATCAAAATAAAGTTTCAAGTCTGTAAGTTTAATGCACACATCACAAAGCAGTTTCTGAGAATGCTTCTGTCTAGTTTGTAGGTGAAGGTATTTCCTTTTCCATCTTAGACCTCAAATCACTAAAAATATCCACTTGCAGATACTACAAAAAGACTGTTTCAAAACCTCTCTCTCAAAAGGAAGGTGCAACTCTGTGAGTTGAATGCACACATCACAAAGCAGTTTCTGAGAATGCTACTTTCTAGTATTTATGTGAAGATATTTCTTTATCCACCATAGGCACAACAGCGTTCCAAATGAACACTTGCAGATCGTACAAAATGTGTGTTTCAACACTGCTCTTTCAAAACAAGGGTTCAAGTCTGTGAGTTGAATGCAGACATCACCAAGCAGCTTCTGAGAGTGCTTCTGTCTAGATTGTATGTGAAGATATTTCCTATTCCATCTTAGGCCTCAAATCACTACAAACATCCAATTGAAGATACTTCAAAAAGATTGTTTCAAAACGGCTCTCTCAAAAGGAAGGTTCAACTCTGTGAGTTCAATTCACACATCACAAAGAAGTTTCTGAGAATGCTTCTGACTAGTGTGTATGTGAAGATATCCCTTTTACAAAGAATTCCTCCAAGAGCTACAAATATCCACAAGCAGATTCTACAAAACAGGTGGTTCAAAACTGCTCAATCAAAAGAAAGAGTCAACCCTGTGAATTGAACACACACATCACAAAGCAGTTTCTGAGAATGCTTCTGTCTAGTTTGTAAGTGAACATATTTCCTTTTCCATCATAGGCCTCAAATCGCTCCAAGTATCCACTTGCAGATACTACAAAAAGACTGTTTCAGAACTGCTTTCTCCAAAGAAAGTTTCAACTCTGTTAGTTGAATGCACACATCACAGAGCAGTTTCTGAGAATGCTTCTGTGTAATTTGTATGTGAAGATATCCCGTATACGCCCAATTCCTCAAAGACCTCCAAATACACGCAAGCAGATTCTACAAAAGCAGTGTTTCAAATCTGCTCTATCAAAAGAAAGGTTCAACTTTGTGAATTGGACACAAACATCTCAAAGGAGTTTCTGAGAAGGCTTCTTTCTAGTTTGTACGTGAACACATTTCTTTTTCCACCACAGGCAACAAAGCTCTCCAAATGAACACTTGCAGATTCCATAAAAAGTGTATTTCAACACTGCTCTATCAAAATAAGGTTTCAAGTCTGTACGTTTAATGCACACATCACAAAGCAGTTTCTGAAAATGCTTCTGTCTAGTTTGTAGGTGAAGGTATTTCCTTTTCCATCTTAGACCTCAAATCACTAAAAATATCCACTTGTATATACTACAAAAAGAAGGTTTCAAAACCTCTCTCTCAAAAGGAAGGTTCAACTCTGTGAGTTGAATGCACACATCACAAAGCAGTTTCTGAGCATGCTTCTGTCTAGTTTGTATGTGAAGATAGTTCCTTTTCCCTCATAGGCCTCAAATCGTTCCAAATATCGACTTGCAGATACTACAAAAAGACTGTTTGAAAACCGTTCTCTCAGAAGGAAGGTTCAACTCCGTGTGTTGAATGCACACATCACAAAGCAGTTTCTGAGAATGCTTCTGTCTAGCTTGTATGTGAAGATAGTTCCTTTTCCCTCATAGGTCCCAAATCGTTCCAAATATCGACTTGCAGATACCACAAAAAGACTGCTTCAAAACTGTTCTCAGAAGGAAGGTTCAACTCCGTGTGTTGAATGCACACATCAAAAAGCAGTTTCTGAGAATGCTTCTGTCTAGTTTGTATGTGAAGATATAACATTGACAGTGAATTCGTCAAAGAGCTTCAAATATCCAAAAGCAGATTCTAGAAAAGCAGTGTTTCAAAACTGCTCAATCAAAAGAAAGGTTCAACTCTGTGAACTGAACACATATATCACAAAGGAGTTTCGGAGAACGCTTCTTTCTAGTCTTTATGTGAAGATATTTCTTTTTCCACCATAGGCATCAAAGCGCTCCAAATGAACTCTTGCAGATTCTGCATATGTGTGTTTCAACACTGCTCCGTCTAAAGAAATGTTCAAGTCTCTGAGTTGAATGCACCCATCACAAAGCAGTTTCTGAGAATGCTTCTTTCTAGTTTGCATGTGAAGATATTCCCGTTTCCATCTTAAGCCTCACATCGCTCCATATATCCACTTGAGGATACTACAAAAAACTGTTTCAAAACTGCTCTCTCAAAAGGAAGGTTCAACTCTGTGAGCTGAATGCACACATCGCAAAGCAGTTAATGAGATTGCTTCTGTCTAGTTTGTATGTGAGGATATTTCCTTTTCAAACTTAGACTTCCCATCGCTCCAAATATCCACTTGCAGATATTTCAAAGAGACTGTTTAAAAACTGCTCTCTCAGAAGGAAGGTTCAACTCTGTGAGTTGAATGCACACACCACAAAGCAGTTTCTGAGAATGCTTCTGTCTAGTTTGTATGTGAAGATATCCCGTTTACAACGAATTCCTCAAAGAGCTCCAAATATCCACAAGCAGATTCTACAGAAGCAGTGTATCAAAACTGCTCTATCAAAAGAAAGGTTCAACTCTCTGAATAGAACAAACACATCACTAAGGCGTTTCTGAGAATGCTTCTGTCTAGTATTTATGTGAAGATATTTCTTTTTCCACCATAGGCAAAAAAGCGCTCCAAGTGAACACTTGCACATCCTACAAAATGTGTGTTTGAACACTGCTCTTTCAAAAGAAAGGTTGAAGTCTGTGATTGGAATGCACACATCACAAAGCAGTTTCTGAGAATGCTTCTGTCTACTTTGTATGTGAAGATATCCCGTTTACAACAAATTCCTCAAAGAGCTCCAGATATCCACAAGCAGATCCTATAAAAGCGGTGTTTCAAAGCTGCGCTATCAAAGGAATATTTCAATTCTGTGAATTTGACACACACTTCACAAAGGAGTTTCTGAGAATGTTTCTGTCTAGTTTTCATTTGAAGATATTTCTTTTTCCACCATAGGCAACAAAGCACACTAAATGAACACTTGCAGATTCTACAAAAAGCGTGTTCCAACACTGATCTCTCAAAAGAAAGTTTGAAGTCTGTGAGTTTAAGGCACACATCTCAAGGAACTTTTTGAGAATCCTTGGGTCTCCTTTTTTTGTGAAGATACCAGCTGCCAACGAACTCCTGAAAGAGT
This sequence comes from Homo sapiens, assembly GCF_000001405.40. Taxonomy (NCBI): domain Eukaryota; kingdom Metazoa; phylum Chordata; class Mammalia; order Primates; family Hominidae; genus Homo; species Homo sapiens. The sequence goes on along the minus strand of NC_000005.10, from coordinate 46,940,630 downwards.
TCCAAATATCCACAAGCAGATTCTACAAAAGGAGTGTTTCAATTCTGCTCTATCAAAAGGCAGATTCAACTCAGTTACTTGAATGCACACATCTCAGTGAAGTTCCTGAGCATGCCTCTGTCTAGTTTTTTTGTGAAGATATTTCCTTTTCCGCCAAAGGCTTAAAAGCGCTCCAAAATGAACACTCGCAGATCCTACAAAAAGACTGTTTCAGAACTGCTCTATCAAAAGGACGGTTCCACTCTGTGAGGTAAATGCACACATCACAAAGCAGATTCTGAGAAAGCTTCTGTCAAGTTTGGCCGTGAAGATATTTCCTTTTCAATCTTAGTCCTCCCATTGCTCCAAGTATCCACTTGTAGAGAATACAAAAAGATTGTTTCAAAACTGCTCTCTCAAAAGGAAGGTTCAACTCTGTGAGTAGAATGCACACATCACAAACCAGTTTCTGAGAATGCTTCTGACTAGTTTGAATGTGAAGATATCCCGTTTAAAACGAATTCCTCAAACAGCTCCAAATATCCACAAGAAGATTCTACAAAAGCAGTGTTTCAAAACTGCTTTATCTAAAGAAAGGTTCAACCCTGTGAATTGAACAACCACATCACAAAGTATTTTCTGAGAATGTTTCTGTCTAGTTTTTACGTGAAGATATTTCTTTTTCCACCATGGGCAAGAAAGCACTCCAAATGAACACTGCAGATTCTACAAAAAGTGTGTTTGAAGCCTGCTCTATCAAAAGAAAGTTTCAAGCCTGTGAGTTGAATCCCCACATCACAAAGCAGTTTCTGAGAATGCTTCTGCCTAGTTTTTAGGTGAAGATATATCCTTTTCCATCTTAGGCCTCAAATCTCTCCAAACATCCACTTGCAGATACTTCAAAAAGACTGTTTCAAAACTGCTCTCAAAAGGAAGGTTCAACTCTGTGAGTTGAATGCACACATCACAACGCAGTGTCTGAGAATGCTTCTGTCTAGTTTGTATGTGGAGATATTTCCTTTTCCATCTTAGGCCTCAAATCGATCCAAATATCCAATTGCAGATACCACAAAAAGACTGCTTCAAAACAGCTCTCGCAAAAGGAAGGTTCAACTCTGTGAGTTGAATGCACACATCACAGAGCAGTTTCTGAGAATGCTTCTGCCTACTTTGTATGTGAAGATATCCCGTTTACAACAAATTCCTCAAAGAGCCCCCAATAGCAACAAGCAGATTCTACAAAAGCAGTGTTTCAAAACTGCTCTATCAAAAGCAACTTTCAACTCTGCGAATTGAACACACACATCACAAAGCAGTCTCTGAGAATGCTTCTGTCTGGTTTTTAGGTGAAGATATTCCTTTTTCCACCATAGGCAACAGAGCACTCCAAACGAACACATGAAGATTCTACAAAAAGTGTGTTCCAACACTGCTCTATCAAAAGAAAGTTTCAAGTCTGGGAGTCCAATGTACATGTCACAAAGAACGTTCTGTGAATGCTTGGGTCTACTTTTTATGTGAAGATAGCCGTTTCCAAAGAATTCTTCAAAGAGTTCCAGATATCCACAGGCAGATTCTACAAAAGAAGTGTTTCAATACTGCTCTATCAAAAGACGTATTCAACTCAGTTACTTTAATGCACACATCTCAATGAAGTTCCTGAGAAAGCTTCTGTCTAGTTTTTATGTGAAAATATTTCCTTTTCCATCATGGGCCTCAAAGCGCTCAAAATGAACACTTGCAGATACTAGAGAAAGACTGTTTCAAAACTGCTCTATCCAAAGAAAGGTTCCACTCTGTGAGGTGAATGCACACATCACAAAGCAGTTTCTCAGAACGCTTCTGTCTAGTTTGTATGTGAACATATTTCCTTTTCCATCATAGGCCTCAAATCGCTCCAAATATCCACTTGCAGATACTACAAAAAGACTGTTTCAAAACTGCTTTCTCAAAAGAAAGTTTCAACTCTGTGAGTTGAATGCACACATCACAAAGCAGTTTCTGAGAATGCTTCTGTGTAACTTGTATGTGAAGATCTCCCGTATACGCCCAATTCCTAAAAGACCGCCAAATATCCGCAAGCAGATTCTACAAAAGCAGTGTTTCAAATCTGCTCTATCAAAAGAAAGGTTCAACTTTGTGAATTGGACACAAACATCTCAAAGGAGTTTCTGAGAAGGCTTCTTTCTAGTTTCTAGGTGAACATATTCCTTTTTCCACCACAGGCAACAAAGCTCTCCAAATGAACACTTGCAGATTCTATAAAAAGTGTGTTTCAACACTGCTCTATCAAAATAAAGTTTCAAGTCTGTAAGTTTAATGCACACATCACAAAGCAGTTTCTGAGAATGCTTCTGTCTAGTTTGTAGGTGAAGGTATTTCCTTTTCCATCTTAGACCTCAAATCACCAAAAATATCCACCTGTACATACTACAAAAAGACTGTTTCAAAACGTCTCTCTCAAAAGGAAGGTTCAACTCTGTGAGTTGAATGCACACATCACACAGCAGTTTCTGAGCATGCTTCTGTCTAGTTTGTATGTGAAGATAGTTCCTTTTCCCTCATAGGCCTCAAATCGTTCCAAATATCGACTTGCAGATACTACAAAAAGACTGTTTGAAAACCGTTCTCTCAGAAGGAAGGTTCAACTCCGTGTGTTGAATGCACACATCACAAAGCAGTTTCTGAGAATGCTTCTGTCTAGCTTGTACGTGAAGATAGTTCCTTTTCCCTCATAGGTCCCAAATCGTTCCAAATATCGACTTGCAGATACCACAAAAAGACTGCTTCAAAACTGTTCTCAGAAGGAAGGTTCAACTCCGTGTGTTGAATGCACACATCAAAAAGCAGTTTCTGAGAATGCTTCTGTCTAGTTTGTATGTGAAGATATAACATTGACAGCGAATTCGTCAAAGAGCTTCAAATATCCAAAAGCAGATTCTAGAAAAGCAGTGTTTCAAAACTGCTCAATCAAAAGAAAGCTTCAACTCTGTGAACTGAACACATATATCACAAAGGAGTTTCGGAGAACGCTTCTTTCTAGTCTTTATGTGAAGATACTTCTTTTTCCACCATAGGCATCAAAGCGCTCCAAATGAACACTTGCAGATTCTACAAATGTGTGTTTCAACACTGCTCCGTCTAAAGAAATGTTCAAGTCTCTGTGTTGAATGCACCCATCACAAAGGAGTTTCTGAGAATGCTTCTATCTAGTTTCTATGTGAAGATATTCCCGTTTCCATGTTAAGCCTCACATCGCTCCATATATCCACTTGAGGATACTACAAAAAACTGTTTCAAAACTGCTCTCTCAAAAGGAAGGTTCAACTCTGTGAGCTGAATGCACACATCACAAAGCAGTAAATGAGATTGCTTCTGTCTAGTTTGTATGTGAAGATATTTCTTTATCCACCATAGGCAAAAAAACGCTCCAAGTGAACACTTGCACATCCTACAAAATGTGTGTTTCAACACTGCTCTTTCAAGAGAAAGGTTCAAGTCTGTGAGTTGAATGCACACATCACTAAGCAGTTTCTGAGAATGCTGCTGTCTAGTTTGTATGCGAAGATATCCCGTTTACAACGAATTCCTCAAAGAGCTCCAAATATCCACAAGCAGATTCTACAGAAGCAGTGTATCAAAACTGCTCTATCAAAAGAAAGGTTCAACTCTCTGAATAGAACAAACACATCAAAAAGGAGTTTCTGAGAATGCTTCTGTCTAGTATTTATGTGAAGATATTTCTTTTTCCACCATAGGCAAAAAAACGCTCCAAGTGAACACTTGCACATCCTACAAAATGTTTGTTTCAACACTGCTCTTTCAAGAGAAAGGTTCAAGTCTGTGAGTTGAATGCACACATCACTAAGCAGTTTCTGTGAATGCTTCTGTCTAGTTTGTATGTGAAGATATCCCGTTTACAACGAAATACTCAAAGAGCTCCAAATATCCACAAGCAGATCCTATAAATGCGGTGTTTCAAAACTGCTCTATCATAAGAAAATTTCAATTCTGTGAATTTGACACACACTTCACAAAGGAGTTTCTGAGAATGTTTCTGTCTAGTTTTCATTTGAAGATATTTCTTTTTCCACTATAGGCAACAAAGCGCACTAAATGAACCCTTGCAGATTCTACAAAAAGCGTGTTCCAACACTGATCTCTCAAAAGAATGTTTGAAGTCTGTGAGTTGAAGGCACACATCTCAAAGAACTTTTTGAGAATGCTTGGGTCTCCTTTTTTTGGGAAGATACCAACTACCAACGAATTCCTGAAAGAGTTCCAAATATCCACAAGTAGATTCTACAAAAGGATTGTTTCAATTCTGCTCTATCAAAAGGCAGATTCAACTCAGTTACTTGAATGCACACATCTCAATGAAGTTCCTGAGCATGCCTCTGTCTAGTTTTCTGTGAAGATATTTCCTTTTCCGCCAAAGGCTTAAAAGCTCTCCAAAATGAACACTCGCAGATCCTACAAAAAGACTGTTTCAGAACTGCTCTATCAAAAGGACGGTTCCACTCTGTGAGGTGAATGCACACATCACAAAGCAGATTCTGAGAAAGCTTCTGTCAAGTTTGGCTGTGAAGATATTTCCTTTTCCATCTTAGTCCTCCCATTGTTCCAAATATCCACTTGCAGATAGTACAAAAAGATTGTTTCAAAACTGTTCTCTCAAAAGGAAGGTTCAACTCTGTGAGTAGAATGCACACATCACAAACCAGTTTCTGAGGATGCTTCTGACTAGTTTGAATGTGAAGATATCCCGTTTAAAACGAATTCCTCAAACAGCTCCAAATATCCACAAGAAGATTCTACAAAAGCAGTGTTTCAAAACTGCTTTATCTAAAGAAAGGTTCAACCCTGTGAATTGAACAACTACATCACAAAGTATTTTCTGAGAAAGTTTCTGTCTAGTTTTCAGGTGAAGATATTTCTTTTTCCACCATGGGCAAGAAAGCACTCCAAATGAACACTTGCAGATTCTACAAAAAGTGTGTTTGAACCCTGCTGTATCAAAAGAAAGTTTCAAGCCTGTGAGTTGAATCCCCACATCACAAAGCAGTTTCTGAGAATGCTTCTGCCTAGTTTTTAGGTGAAGATATATCCTTTTCCATCTTAGGCCTCAAATCTCTCCAAACATCCACTTGCAGATACTTCAAAAAGACTGTTTCAAAACTGCTCTCAAAAGGAAGGTTCAACTCTGTGAGTTGAATGCACACATCACAACGCAGTGTCTGAGAATGCTTCTGTCTAGTTTGTATGTGGAGATATTTCCTTTTCCATCTTAGGCCTCAAATCGATCCAAATATCCAATTGCAGATACCACAAAAAGACTGCTTCAAAACAGCTCTCGCAAAAGGAAGGTTCAACTCTGTGAGTTGAATGCACACATCACAGAGCAGTTTCTGAGAATGCTTCTGTCTACTTTGTATGTGAAGATATCCCGTTTACAACAAATTCCTCATAGAGCCCCCAATATCAACAAGCAGATTCTACAAAAGCAGTGTTTCAAAACTGCTCTATCAAAAGGAACATTCAACTCAGCGAATTGAACACACACATCACAAAGCAGTCTCTGAGAATGCTTCTGTCTGGTTTTTAGGTGAAGATATTCCTTTTTCCACCATAGGCAACAGAGCACTCCAAACGAACACATGAAGATTCTACAAAAAGTGTGTTCCAACACTGCTCTATCAAAAGAAAGTTTCAAGTCTGGGAGTCCAATGTACATGTCACAAAGAACGTTCTGTGAATGCTTGGGTCTACTTTTTATGTGAAGATAGCCGTTTCCAAAGAATTCTTCAAAGAGTTCCAGATATCCACAGGCAGATTCTACAAAAGAAGTGTTTCAATACTGCTCTATCAAAAGACGTATTCAACTCAGTTACTTTAATGCACACATCTCAATGAAGTTCCTGAGAAAGCTTCTGTCTAGTTTTTATGTGAAAATATTTCCTTTTCCATCATGGGCCTCAAAGCGCTCAAAATGAACACTTGCAGATACTAGAGAAAGACTGTTTCAAAACTGCTCTATCCAAAGAAAGGTTCCACTCTGTGAGGTGAATGCACACATCACAAAGCAGTTTCTCAGAACGCTCCTGTCTAGTTTGTATGTGAACATATTTCCTTTTCCATCATAGGCCTCAAATCGCTCCAAATATCCACTTGCAGATACTACAAAAAGACTGTTTCAAAACTGCTTTCTCAAAAGAAAGTTTCAACTCTGTGAGTTGAATGCACACATCACAAAGCAGTTTCTGAGAATGCTTCTGTGTAACTTGTAGGTGAAGATATCCCGTATACGCCCAATTCCTCAAAGACCTCCAAATATCCGCAAGCAGAGTCTACAAAAGCAATGTTTCAAATCTGCTCTATCAAAAGAAAGGTTCAACTTTGTGAATTGGACACAAACATCTCAAAGGAGTTTCTGAGAATGCTTCTTTCTAGTTTCTAGGTGAACATATTCCTTTTTCCACCAGAGGCAACAAAGCTCTCCAAATGAACACTTGCAGATTCTATAAAAAGTGTGTTTCAACACTGCTCTATCAAAATAAAGTTTCAAGTCTGTAAGTTTAATGCACACATCACAAAGCAGTTTCTGAGAATGCTTCTGTCTAGTTTGTAGGTGAAGGTATTTCCTTTTCCATCTTAGACCTCAAATCACTAAAAATATCCACTTGCAGATACTACAAAAAGACTGTTTCAAAACCTCTCTCTCAAAAGGAAGGTTCAACTCTGTGAGTTGAATGCACACATCACAAAGCAGTTTCTGAGAATGCTTCTGTCTAGTATTTATGTGAAGATATTTCTTTATCCACCATAGGCACAAAAGCGCTCCAAATGAACACTTGCAGATCGTACAAAATGTGTGTTTCAACACTGCTCTTTCAAAACAAGGGTTCAAGTCTGTGAGTTGAATGCAGACATCACCAAGCAGCTTCTGAGAGTGCCTCTGTCTAGATTGTATGTGAAGATATTTCCTTTTCCATCTTAGGCCTCAAATCACTACAAACATCCAATTGAAGATACTTCAAAAAGATTGTTTCAAAACGGCTCTCTCAAAAGGAAGGTTCAACTCTGTGAATTCAATTCACACATCACAAAGAAGTTTCTGAGAATGCTTCTGACTAGTGTGTATGTGCAGATATCCCTTTTACAAAGAATTCCTCCAAGAGCTACAAATATCCACAAGCAGATTCTACAAAACAGGTGGTTCAAAACTGCTCAATCAAAAGAAATAGTCAACCCTGTGAATTGAACACACACATCACAAAGCAGTTTCTGAGATTGCTTCTGTCTAGTTTGTATGTGAACATATTTCCTTTTCCATCATAGGCCTGAAATCGCTCCAAATATCCACTTGCAGATACTACAAAAAGACTGTTTCAGAACAGCTTTCTCCAAAGAAAGTTTCAACTCTGTGAGTTGAATGCACACATCACAGAGCAGTTTCTGAGAATGCTTCTGTGTAATTTGTATGTGAAGATATCCCGTATACGCCCAATTCCTCAAAGACCTCCTAATACACGCAAGCAGATTCTACAAAAGCAGTGTTTCAAATCTGCTCTATCAAAAGAAAGGTTCAACTTTGTGAATTAGACACAAACATCTCAAAGGAGTTTCTGAGAAGGCTTCTTTCTAGTTTGTATGTGAACACATTTCTTTTTCCACCACAGGCAACAAAGCTCTCCAAATGAACACTTGCAGGTTCTATAAAAAGTGTGTTTCAACACTGCTCTATCAAAATAAGGTTTCAAGTCTGTAAGTTTAATGCACACATCACAAAGCAGTTTCTGAGAATGCTTCTGTCTAGTTTGTAGGTGAAGGTATTTCCTTTTCCATCTTAGACCTCAAAGCACCAAAAATATCCACCTGTACATACTACAAAAAGACTGTTTCAAAACGTCTCTCTCAAAAGGAAGGTTCAACTCTGTGAGTTGAATGCACACATCACACAGCAGTTTCTGAGCATGCTTCTGTCTAGTTTGTATGTGAAGATAGTTCCTTTTCCCTCATAGGCCTCAAATCGTTCCAAATATCGACTTGCAGATACTACAAAAAGACTGTTTGAAAACCGTTCTCTCAGAAGGAAGGTTCAACTCCGTGTGTTGAATGCACACATCACAAAGCAGTTTCTGAGAATGCTTCTGTCTAGCTTGTACGTGAAGATAGTTCCTTTTCCCTCATAGGTCCCAAATCGTTCCAAATATCGACTTGCAGATACCACAAAAAGACTGCTTCAAAACTGTTCTCAGAAGGAAGGTTCAACTCCGTGTGTTGAATGCACACATCAAAAAGCAGTTTCTGAGAATGCTTCTGTCTAGTTTGTATGTGAAGATATAACATTGACAGCGAATTCGTCAAAGAGCTTCAAATATCCAAAAGCAGATTCTAGAAAAGCAGTGTTTCAAAACTGCTCAATCAAAAGAAAGGTTCAACTCTGTGAACTGAACACATATATCACAAAGGAGTTTCGGAGAACGCTTCTTTCTAGTCTTTATGTGAAGATATTTCTTTTTCCACCATAGGCATCAAAGCGCTCCAAATGAACTCTTGCAGATTCTGCATATGTGTGTTTCAACACTGCTCCGTCTAAAGAAATGTTCAAGTCTCTGAGTTGAATGCACCCATCACAAAGCAGTTTCTGAGAATGCTTCTTTCTAGTTTGCATGTGAAGATATTCCCGTTTCCATCTTAAGCCTCACATCGCTCCATATATCCACTTGAGGATACTACAAAAAACTGTTTCAAAACTGCTCTCTCAAAAGGAAGGTTCAACTCTGTGAGCTGAATGCACACATCGCAAAGCAGTTAATGAGATTGCTTCTGTCTAGTTTGTATGTGAGGATATTTCCTTTTCAAACTTAGACTTCCCATCGCTCCAAATATCCACTTGCAGATATTTCAAAGAGACTGTTTAAAAACTGCTCTCTCAGAAGGAAGGTTCAACTCTGTGAGTTGAATGCACACACCACAAAGCAGTTTCTGAGAATGCTTCTGTCTAGTTTGTATGTGAAGATATCCCGTTTACAACGAATTCCTCAAAGAGCTCCAAATATCCACAAGCAGATTCTACAGAAGCAGTGTATCAAAACTGCTCTATCAAAAGAAAGGTTCAACTCTCTGAATAGAACAAACACATCACTAAGGCGTTTCTGAGAATGCTTCTGTCTAGTATTTATGTGAAGATATTTCTTTTTCCACCATAGGCAAAAAAGCGCTCCAAGTGAACACTTGCACATCCTACAAAATGTGTGTTTGAACACTGCTCTTTCAAAAGAAAGGTTGAAGTCTGTGATTGGAATGCACACATCACAAAGCAGTTTCTGAGAATGCTTCTGTCTACTTTGTATGTGAAGATATCCCGTTTACAACAAATTCCTCAAAGAGCTCCAGATATCCACAAGCAGATCCTATAAAAGCGGTGTTTCAAAGCTGCGCTATCAAAGGAATATTTCAATTCTGTGAATTTGACACACACTTCACAAAGGAGTTTCTGAGAATGTTTCTGTCTAGTTTTCATTTGAAGATATTTCTTTTTCCACCATAGGCAACAAAGCGCACTAAATGAACACTTGCAGATTCTACAAAAAGCGTGTTCCAACACTGATCTCTCAAAAGAAAGTTTGAAGTCTGTGAGTTTAAGGCACACATCTCAAGGAACTTTTTGAGAATCCTTGGGTCTCCTTTTTTTGTGAAGATACCAGCTGCCAACGAACTCCTGAAAGAGTTCCAAATATCCACAAGCAGATTCTACAAAAGGAGTGTTTCAATTCTGCTCTATCAAAAGGCAGATTCAACTCAGTTACTTGAATGCACACATCTCAGTGAAGTTCCTGAGCATGCCTCTGTCTAGTTTTTTTGTGAAGATATTTCCTTTTCCGCCAAAGGCTTAAAAGCGCTCCAAAATGAACACTCGCAGATCCTACAAAAAGACTGTTTCAGAACTGCTCTATCAAAAGGACGGTTCCACTCTGTGAGGTAAATGCACACATCACAAAGCAGATTCTGAGAAAGCTTCTGTCAAGTTTGGCCGTGAAGATATTTCCTTTTCAATCTTAGTCCTCCCATTGCTCCAAGTATCCACTTGTAGAGAATACAAAAAGATTGTTTCAAAACTGCTCTCTCAAAAGGAAGGTTCAACTCTGTGAGTAGAATGCACACATCACAAACCAGTTTCTGAGAATGCTTCTGACTAGTTTGAATGTGAAGATATCCCGTTTAAAACGAATTCCTCAAACAGCTCCAAATATCCACAAGAAGATTCTACAAAAGCAGTGTTTCAAAACTGCTTTATCTAAAGAAAGGTTCAACCCTGTGAATTGAACAACCACATCACAAAGTATTTTCTGAGAATGTTTCTGTCTAGTTTTTACGTGAAGATATTTCTTTTTCCACCATGGGCAAGGAAAGCACTCCAAATGAACACTTGCAGATTCTACAAAAAGTGTGTTTCAACCCTGCTCTATCAAAAGAAAGTTTCAAGCCTGTGAGTCGAATCCTCACATCACAAAGCAGTTTCTGAGAATGCTTCTGCCTAGTTTTTAGGTGAAGATATATCCTTTTCCATCTTAGGCCTCAAATCTCTCCAAACATCCACTTGCAGATACTTCAAAAAGACTGTTTCAAAACTGCTCTCAAAAGGAAGGTTCAACTCTGTGAGTTGAATGCACACATCACAACGCAGTGTCTGAGAATGCTTCTGTCTAGTTTGTATGTGGAGATATTTCCTTTTCCATCTTAGGCCTCAAATCGATCCAAATATCCAATTGCAGATACCACAAAAAGACTGCTTCAAAACAGCTCTCGCAAAAGGAAGGTTCAACTCTGTGAGTTGAATGCACACATCACAGAGCAGTTTCTGAGAATGCTTCTGTCTACTTTGTATGTGAAGATATCCCGTTTACAACAAATTCCTCAAAGAGCCCCCAATAGCAACAAGCAGATTCTACAAAAGCAGTGTTTCAAAACTGCTCTATCAAAAGCAACTTTCAACTCTGCGAATTGAACACACACATCACAAAGCAGTCTCTGAGAATGCTTCTGTCTGGTTTTTAGGTGAAGATATTCCTTTTTCCACCATAGGCAACAGAGCACTCCAAACGAACACATGAAGATTCTACAAAAAGTGTGTTCCAACACTGCTCTATCAAAAGAAAGTTTCAAGTCTGGGAGTCCAATGTACATGTCACAAAGAACGTTCTGTGAATGCTTGGGTCTACTTTTTATGTGAAGATAGCCGTTTCCAAAGAATTCTTCAAAGAGTTCCAGATATCCACAGGCAGATTCTACAAAAGAAGTGTTTCAATACTGCTCTATCAAAAGACGTATTCAACTCAGTTACTTTAATGCACACATCTCAATGAAGTTCCTGAGAAAGCTTCTGTCTAGTTTTTATGTGAAAATATTTCCTTTTCCATCATGGGCCTCAAAGCGCTCAAAATGAACACTTGCAGATACTAGAGAAAGACTGTTTCAAAACTGCTCTATCCAAAGAAAGGTTCCACTCTGTGAGGTGAATGCACACATCACAAAGCAGTTTCTCAGAACGCTTCTGTCTAGTTTGTATGTGAACATATTTCCTTTTCCATCATAGGCCTCAAATCGCTCCAAATATCCACTTGCAGATACTACAAAAAGACTGTTTCAAAACTGCTTTCTCAAAAGAAAGTTTCAACTCTGTGAGTTGAATGCACACATCACAAAGCAGTTTCTGAGAATGCTTCTGTGTAACTTGTATGTGAAGATCTCCCGTATACGCCCAATTCCTAAAAGACCGCCAAATATCCGCAAGCAGATTCTACAAAAGCAGTGTTTCAAATCTGCTCTATCAAAAGAAAGGTTCAACTTTGTGAATTGGACACAAACATCTCAAAGGAGTTTCTGAGAAGGCTTCTTTCTAGTTTCTAGGTGAACATATTCCTTTTTCCACCACAGGCAACAAAGCTCTCCAAATGAACACTTGCAGATTCTATAAAAAGTGTGTTTCAACACTGCTCTATCAAAATAAAGTTTCAAGTCTGTAAGTTTAATGCACACATCACAAAGCAGTTTCTGAGAATGCTTCTGTCTAGTTTGTAGGTGAAGGTATTTCCTTTTCCATCTTAGACCTCAAATCACTAAAAATATCCACTTGCAGATACTACAAAAAGACTGTTTCAAAACCTCTCTCTCAAAAGGAAGGTTCAACTCTGTGAGTTGAATGCACACATCACAAAGCAGTTTCTGAGAATGCTACTTTCTAGTATTTATGTGAAGATATTTCTTTATCCACCATAGGCACAACAGCGTTCCAAATGAACACTTGCAGATCGTACAAAATGTGTGTTTCAACACTGCTCTTTCAAAACAAGGGTTCAAGTCTGTGAGTTGAATGCAGACATCACCAAGCAGCTTCTGAGAGTGCTTCTGTCTAGATTGTATGTGAAGATATTTCCTCTTCCATCTTAGGCCTCAAATCACTACAAACATCCAATTGAAGATACTTCAAAAAGATTGTTTCAAAACGGCTCTCTCAAAAGGAAGGTTCAACTCTGTGAGTTCAATTCACACATCACAAAGAAGTTTCTGAGAATGCTTCTGACTAGTGTGTATGTGAAGATATCCCTTTTACAAAGAATTCCTCCAAGAGCTACAAATATCCACAAGCAGATTCTACAAAACAGGTGGTTCAAAACTGCTCAATCAAAAGAAAGAGTCAACCCTGTGAATTGAACACACACATCACAAAGCAGTTTCTGAGAATGCTTCTGTCTAGTTTGTAAGTGAACATATTTCCTTTTCCATCATAGGCCTCAAATCGCTCCAAATATCCACTTGCAGATACTACAAAAAGACTGTTTCAGAACAGATTTCTCAAAAGAAAGTTTCAACTCTGTGAGAGGAATGCACACATCACAGAGCAGTTTCTGAGAATGCTTCTGTGTAATTTGTATGTGAAGATATCCCGTATACGCCCAATTCCTCAAAGACCTCCAAATACATGCAAGCAGATTCTACAAAAGCAGTGTTTCAAATCTGCTCTATCAAAAGAAAGGTTCAACTTTGTGAATTGGACACAAACATCTCAAAGGAGTTTCTGAGAAGGCTTCTTTCTAGTTTGTATGTGAACACATTTCTTTTTCCACCACAGGCAACAAAGCTCTCCAAATGAACACTTGCAGATTCTATAAAAAGTGTGTTTCAACACTGCTCTATCAAAATAAGGTTTCAAGTCTGTAAGTTTAATGCACACATCACAAAGCAGTTTCTGAGAATGCTTCTGTCTAGTTTGTAGGTGAAGGTATTTCCTTTTCCATCTTAGACCTCAAATCACTAAAAATATGCACTTGTGTATACTACAAAAAGAGTGTTTCAAAACGTCTCTCTCAAAAGGAAGGTTCAAATCTGTGAGTTGAATGCTCACATCACAAAGCAGTTTCTGAGCATGCTTCTGTCTAGTTTGTATGTTAAGATAGTTCCTTTTCCCTCATAGGCCTCAAATCGTACCAAATATCGACTTGCAGATACTACAAAAAGACTGTTTGAAAACCGTTCTCTCAGAAGGAAGGTTCAACTCCGTGTGTTGAATGCACACATCACAAAGCAGTTTCTGAGAATGCTTCTGTCTAGTTTGTATGTGAAGATATCCCATTGACAGCGAATCCCTCAAAGAGCTCCAAACATCCACAAGCAGATTCTAGAAAAGCAGTGTTTCAAAACTGCTCAAACAAAAGAAAGGTTCAACTCTGTGAACTGAACACACATATCACAAAGAGTTTCGGAGAACGCTTCTTTCGAGTCTTTATGTGAAGATATTTCTTTTTCCACCATAGGCATCAAAGCGTTCCAAAGGAACTCTTGCAGATTCTACAAATTTGTGTTTCAACACTGCCCCGTCTAAAGAAATGTTCAAGTCTCTGTGTTGAATGCACCCATCACAAAGCAGTTTCTGAGAATGCTTCTATCTAGTTTGTATGTGAAGATATTCCCGTTTCCATCTTTAGCCTCACGTCGCTCCATATATCCACTTGAGGATACTACAAAAAACTGTTTCAAAACTGCTCTCTCAAAAGGAAGGTTCAACTCTGTGAGCTGAATGCACACATCACAAAGAAGTTAATGAGATTGCTTCTGTCTAGTTTGTATGTGAGGATATTTCCTTTTCAATCTTAGACTTCCCATCGCTCCAAATATCCACTTGCAGATATTTCAAAGAGGCTGTTTAAAAACTGCTCTCTCAGAAGGAAGGTTCAACTCTGTGAGTAGAATGCACACATCAGAAACCAGTTTCTGAGAATGCTTCTGACTAGTTTGAATGTGAAGGTATCCCGTTTAAAACGAATTCCTCAAACAGCTCCAAATATCCACAAGAAGATTCTACAAAAGCAGTGTTTCAAAACTGCTTCATCTAAAGAAAGGTTCAACCCTGTGAATTGAACAACTACATCACAAAGTATTTTCTGAGAATGTTTCTGTCTAGTTTTTACGTGAAGATATTTCTTTTTCCACCATGGGAAAGGAAGCACTCCAAATGAACACTTGCAGATTCTACAAAAAGTGTGTTTCAACCCTGCTCTATCAAAAGAAAGTTTCAAGCCTGTGAGTTGAATCCCCACATCACAAAGCAGTTTCTGAGAATGCTTCTGCCTAGTTTTTAGGTGAAGATATATCCTTTTCCATCTTAGGCCTCAAATCTCTCCAACATCCACTTGCAGATACTTCAAAAAGACTGTTTCAAAACTACTCTCAAAAGGAAGGTTCAACTCTGTGAGTTGAATGCACACATCACAACGCAGTGTCTGAGAATGCTTCTGTCTAGTTTGTATGTGAAGATATTTCCTTTTCCATCTTAGGCCTCAAATCGATCCAAATATCCAATTGCAGATACCACAAAAAGACTGCTTCAAAACAGCTCTCGCAAAAGGAAAGTTCAACTCTGTGAGTTGAATGCACACATCACAGAGCAGTTTCTGAGAATGCTTCTGTCTACTTTGTATGTGAAGATATCCCGTTTACAACAAATTCCTCAAAGAGCCCCCAATAGCAACAAGCAGATTCTACAAAAGCAGTGTTTCAAAACTGCTCTATCCAAAGCAACTTTCAACTCTGCGAATTGAACACACACATCACAAAGCAGTCTCTGAGAATGCTTCTGTCTGGTTTTTAGGTGAAGATATTCCTTTTTCCACCATAGGCAACAGAGCACTCCAAACGAACACATGAAGATTCTACAAAAAGTGTGTTCCAACACTGCTCTATCAAAAGAAAGTTTCAAGTCTGGGAGTCCAATGTACATGTCACAAAGAACGTTCTGTGAATGCTTGGGTCTACTTTTTATGTGAAGATAGCCGTTTCCAAAGAATTCTTCAAAGAGTTCCAGATATCCACAGGCAGATTCTACAAAAGAAGTGTTTCAATACTGCTCTATCAAAAGACGTATTCCACTCAGTTACTTTAATGCACACATCTCAATGAAGTTCCTGAGAAAGCTTCTGTCTAGTTTTTATGTGAAAATATTTCCTTTTCCATCATGGGCCTCAAAGCGCTCAAAATGAACACTTGCAGATACTAGAGAAAGACTGTTTCAAAACTGCTCTATCCAAAGAACGGTTCCACTCTGTGAGGTGAATGCACACATCACAAAGCAGTTTCTCAGAACGCATCTGTCTAGTTTGTATGTGAACATATTTCCTTTTCCATCATAGGCCTCAAATCGCTCCAAATATCCACTTGCAGATACTACAAAAAGACTGTTTCAAAACTGCTTTCTCAAAAGAAAGTTTCAACTCTGTGAGTTGAATGCACACATCACAAAGCAGTTTCTGAGAATGCTTCTGTGTAACTTGTATGTGAAGATCTCCCGTATACGCCCAATTCCTAAAAGACCGCCAAATATCCGCAAGCAGATTCTACAAAAGCAGTGTTTCAAATCTGCTCTATCAAAAGAAAGGTTCAACTTTGTGAATTGGACACAAACATCTCAAAGGAGTTTCTGAGAAGGCTTCTTTCTAGTTTCTAGGTGAACATATTCCTTTTTCCACCACAGGCAACAAAGCTCTCCAAATGAACACTTGCAGATTCTATAAAAAGTGTGTTTCAACACTGCTCTATCAAAATAAAGTTTCAAGTCTGTAAGTTTAATGCACACATCACAAAGCAGTTTCTGAGAATGCTTCTGTCTAGTTTGTAGGTGAAGGTATTTCCTTTTCCATCTTAGACCTCAAATCACTAAAAATATCCACTTGCAGATACTACAAAAAGACTGTTTCAAAACCTCTCTCTCAAAAGGAAGGTTCAACTGCTGTGAGTTGAATGCACACATCACAAAGCAGTTTCTGAGAATGCTTCTGTCTAGTATTTATGTGAAGATATTTCTTTATCCACCATAGGCACAAAAGCGCTCCAAATGAACACTTGCAGATCGTACAAAATGTGTGTTTCAACACTGCTCTTTCAAAACAAGGGTTCAAGTCTGTGAGTTGAATGCAGACATCACCAAGCAGCTTCTGAGAGTGCCTCTGTCTAGATTGTATGTGAAGATATTTCCTTTTCCATCTTAGGCCTCAAATCACTACAAACATGCAATTGAAGGTACTTCAAAAAGATTGTTTCAAAACGGCTCTCTCAAAAGGAAGGTTCAACTCTGTGATTTCAATTCACACATCACAAAGAAGTTTCTGAGAATGCTTCTGACTAGTGTGTATGTGAAGATATCCCTTTTACAAAGAATTCCTCCAAGAGCTACAAATATCCACAAGCAGATTCTACAAAACAGGTGGTTGAAAACTGCTCAATCAAAAGAAAGAGTCGACCCTGTGAATTGAACACACACATCACAAAGCAGTTTCTGAGAACTCTTCTGTCTAGTTTGTATGTGAACATATTTCCTTTTCCATCATAGGCCTAAAATCGCTCCAAATATCCACTTGCAGATACTACAAAAGACTATTTCAGAACTGCTTTCTCAAAAGAAACTTTCAACTGTGTGAGTTGAATGCACACATCACAGAGCAGTTTCTGAGAATGCTTCTGTGTAATTTGTATGTGAAGATATCCCGTATACGCCCAATTCCTCAAAGACCTCCAAATACACGCAAGCAGATTCTACAAAAGCAGTGTTTCAAATCTGCTCTATAAAAAGAAAGGTTCAACTTTGTGAATTGGACACAAACATCTCAAAGGAGTTTCTGAGAAGGATTCTTTCTAGTTTGTATGTGAACACATTTCTTTTTCCACCACAGGCAACAAAGCTCTCCAAATGAACACTTGCAGATTCTATAAAAAGTGTGTTTCAACACTGCTCTATCAAAATAAGGTTTCAAGTCTGTAAGTTTAATGCACACATCACAAAGCAGTTTCTGAGAATGCTTCTGTCTAGTTTGTAGGTGAAGGTATTTCCTTTTCCATCTTAGACCTCAAAGCACCAAAAATATCCACCTGTACATACTACAAAAAGACTGTTTCAAAACGTCTCTCTCAAAAGGAAGGTTCAACTCTGTGAGTTGAATGCACACATCACACAGCAGTTTCTGAGCATGCTTCTGTCTAGTTTGTATGTGAAGATAGTTCCTTTTCCCTCATAGGCCTCAAATCGTTCCAAATATCGACTTGCAGATACTACAAAAAGACTGTTTGAAAACCGTTCTCTCAGAAGGAAGGTTCAACTCCGTGTGTTGAATGCACACATCACAAAGCAGTTTCTGAGAATGCTTCTGTCTAGTTTGTATGTGAAGATAGTTCCTTTTCCCTCATAGGCCTCAAAGCGTTCCAAATATCGACTTGCAGATACTACAAAAAGACTGTTTGAAAACTGTTCTCTCAGAAGGAAGGTTCAATTCCGTGTGTTGAATGCACACATCACAAAGCAGTTTCTGAGAATGCTTCTGTCTAGTTTGTATGTGAAGATATAACATTGACAGTGAATTCGTCAAAGAGCTTCAAATATCCAAAAGCAGATTCTAGAAAAGCAGTGTTTCAAAACTGCTCAATCAAAAGAAAGGTTCAACTCCTGTGAACTGAACACATATATCACAAAGGAGTTTCGGAGAACGCTTCCTTTCTAGTCTTTATGTGAAGATATTTCTTTTTCCACCATAGGCATCAAAGCGCTCCAAATGAACTCTTGCAGATTCTGCATATGTGTGTTTCAACACTGCTCCGTCTAAAGAAATGTTCAAGTCTCTGAGTTGAATGCACCCATCACAAAGCAGTTTCTGAGAATGCTTCTTTCTAGTTTGCATGTGAAGATATTCCCGTTTCCATCTTAAGCCTCACATCGCTCCATATATCCACTTGAGGATACTACAAAAAACTGTTTCAAAACTGCTCTCTCAAAAGGAAGGTTCAACTCTGTGAGCTGAATGCACACATCGCAAAGCAGTTAATGAGATTGCTTCTGTCTAGTTTGTATGTGAGGATATTTCCTTTTCAAACTTAGACTTCCCATCGCTCCAAATATCCACTTGCAGATATTTCAAAGAGACTGTTTAAAAACTGCTCTCTCAGAAGGAAGGTTCAACTCTGTGAGTTGAATGCACACACCACAAAGCAGTTTCTGAGAATGCTTCTGTCTAGTTTGTATGTGAAGATATCCCGTTTACAACGAATTCCTCAAAGAGCTCCAAATATCCACAAGCAGATTCTACAGAAGCAGTGTATCAAAACTGCTCTATCAAAAGAAAGGTTCAACTCTCTGAATAGAACAAACACATCACTAAGGCGTTTCTGAGAATGCTTCTGTCTAGTATTTATGTGAAGATATTTCTTTTTCCCCATAGGCAAAAAAGAGCTCCAAGTGAACACTTGCACATGCTACAAAATGTGTGTTTCAACACTGCTCTTTCAAAAGAAAGGTTGAAGTCTGTGATTGGAATGCACACATCACAAAGCAGTTTCTGAGAATGCTTCTGTCTACTTTGTATGTGAAGATATCCCGTTTACAACAAATTCCTCAAAGAGCCCCCAATAGCAACAAGCAGATTCTACAAAAGCAGTGTTTCAAAACTGCTCTATCAAAAGGAACTTTTAACTCTGCGAATTGAACACACACATCACAAAGCAGTCTCGGAGAATGCTTCTGTCTGGTTTTTAGGTGAAGATATTCCTTTTTCCACCATAGGCAACAAAGCACTCCAAACGAACACATGAAGATTCTACAAAAAGTGTGTTCCAACACTGCTCTATCAAAAGAAATGTTCAAGTCTGGGAGTCCAATGTACATATCACAAAGAACTTTCTGAGAATGCTTGGGTCTACTTTTTATGTGAAGATAGCCGTTTCCAAAGAATTCTTCAAAGAGTTCCAGATATCCACAGGCAGATTCTACAAATAAGTGTTTCAATACTGCTCTATCAAAAGACGTATTCAACTCAGTTACTTTAATGCACACATCTCAATGAAGTTCCTGAGAAAGCTTCTGTCTACTTTTTATGTGAAAATATTTCCTATTCCATCATGGGCCTAAAAGCGCTCAAAATGAACACTTGCAGATACTAGAGAAAGACTGTTTCAAAACTGCTCTATCCAAAGAACGGTTCCACTCTGTGAGGTGAATGCACACATCACAAAGCAGTTTCTGAGAACGCTTCTGTCTAGTTTGTATGTGAACATATTTCCTTTTCCATCATAGGCCTCAAATCGCTCCAAATATCCACTTGCAGATACTACAAAAAGACTGTTTCGGAACTGCTTTCTCAAAAGAAAGTTTCAACTCTGTGAGTTGAATGCACACAGCACAAAGCAGTTTCTGACAATGCTTCTGTGTAATTTGTATGTGAAGATATCCCGTATACGTCCAATTCCTCAAATACCTCCAAATATTCACAAGCAGATTCTACAAAAGCAGAGTTTCAAATCTGCTGTATCAATAGAAAGGTTCAACTTTGTGAATTGGACACAAACATCTCAAAGGAGTTTCTGAGAAGGCTTCTTTCTAGTTTGTATGTGAACACATTTCTTTTTCCACCACAGGCAACAAAGCTCTCAAAATGAACACTTGCAGATTCTATAAAAAGTGTGTTTCAACACTGCTCTATCAAAATAAGGTTTCAAGTCTGTACATTTAATGCACACATCACAAAGCAGTTTCTGAGAATGCTTCTGTCTAGTTTGTAGGTGAAGGTATTTCCTTTTCCATATTAGACCTCAAATCACTAAAAATATCCACTTGTATATGCTACAAAAAGACTGTTTCAAAACCTCTCTCTCAAAAGGAAGGTTCAACTCTGTGAGTTGAATGCGCACATCACAAAGCAGTTTCTGAGCATGCTTCTGTCTAGTTTGTATGTGAAAATAGTTCCTTTTCCCTCATAGGCCTCAAATCGTTCCAAATATCGACTTGCAGGTACTACAAAAAGACTGTTTGAAAACTCTTCTCTCACAAGGAAGGTTCAACTCCGTGTGTTGAATGCACACATCACAAAGCAGTTTCTGAGAATGCTTCTGGCTAGTTTGTATGTGAAGATATCCCATTGACAGCGAATTCCTCAAAGAGCTCCAAATATCCACAAGCAGATTCTAGAAAAGCAGTGTTTCAAAACTGCTCAATCAAAAGAAAGGTTCATCTCTGTGCATTGAACACACATATCACAAAGGAGTTTCGGAGAACACTTCTTTCTAGTCTTTATGTGAAGATACTTCTTTTTCCACCATAGGCATCAAAGCGCTCCAAATGAACACTTGCAGATTCTACAAATGTGTGTTTCAACACTGCTCCGTCTAAAGAAATGTTCAAGTCTCTGTGTTGAATGCACCCATCACAAAGGAGTTTCTGAGAATGCTTCTATCTAGTTTCTATGTGAAGATATTCCCGTTTCCATGTTAAGCCTCACATCGCTCCATATATCCACTTGAGGATACTACAAAAAACTGTTTCAAAACTGCTCTCTCAAAAGGAAGGTTCAACTCTGTGAGCTGAATGCACACATCACAAAGCAGTAAATGAGATTGCTTCTGTCTAGTTTGTATGTGAAGATATTTCTTTATCCACCATAGGCAAAAAAACGCTCCAAGTGAACACTTGCACATCCTACAAAATGTGTGTTTCAACACTGCTCTTTCAAGAGAAAGGTTCAAGTCTGTGAGTTGAATGCACACATCACTAAGCAGTTTCTGAGAATGCTGCTGTCTAGTTTGTATGCGAAGATATCCCGTTTACAACGAATTCCTCAAAGAGCTCCAAATATCCACAAGCAGATTCTACAGAAGCAGTGTATCAAAACTGCTCTATCAAAAGAAAGGTTCAACTCTCTGAATAGAACAAACACATCAAAAAGGAGTTTCTGAGAATGCTTCTGTCTAGTATTTATGTGAAGATATTTCTTTTTCCACCATAGGCAAAAAAACGCTCCAAGTGAACACTTGCACATCCTACAAAATGTTTGTTTCAACACTGCTCTTTCAAGAGAAAGGTTCAAGTCTGTGAGTTGAATGCACACATCACTAAGCAGTTTCTGTGAATGCTTCTGTCTAGTTTGTATGTGAAGATATCCCGTTTACAACGAAATACTCAAAGAGCTCCAAATATCCACAAGCAGATCCTATAAATGCGGTGTTTCAAAACTGCTCTATCATAAGAAAATTTCAATTCTGTGAATTTGACACACACTTCACAAAGGAGTTTCTGAGAATGTTTCTGTCTAGTTTTCATTTGAAGATATTTCTTTTTCCACTATAGGCAACAAAGCGCACTAAATGAACCCTTGCAGATTCTACAAAAAGCGTGTTCCAACACTGATCTCTCAAAAGAATGTTTGAAGTCTGTGAGTTGAAGGCACACATCTCAAAGAACTTTTTGAGAATGCTTGGGTCTCCTTTTTTTGGGAAGATACCAACTACCAACGAATTCCTGAAAGAGTTCCAAATATCCACAAGTAGATTCTACAAAAGGATTGTTTCAATTCTGCTCTATCAAAAGGCAGATTCAACTCAGTTACTTGAATGCACACATCTCAATGAAGTTCCTGAGCATGCCTCTGTCTAGTTTTCTGTGAAGATATTTCCTTTTCCGCCAAAGGCTTAAAAGCTCTCCAAAATGAACACTCGCAGATCCTACAAAAAGACTGTTTCAGAACTGCTCTATCAAAAGGACGGTTCCACTCTGTGAGGTGAATGCACACATCACAAAGCAGATTCTGAGAAAGCTTCTGTCAAGTTTGGCTGTGAAGATATTTCCTTTTCCATCTTAGTCCTCCCATTGTTCCAAATATCCACTTGCAGATAGTACAAAAAGATTGTTTCAAAACTGTTCTCTCAAAAGGAAGGTTCAACTCTGTGAGTAGAATGCACACATCACAAACCAGTTTCTGAGGATGCTTCTGACTAGTTTGAATGTGAAGATATCCCGTTTAAAACGAATTCCTCAAACAGCTCCAAATATCCACAAGAAGATTCTACAAAAGCAGTGTTTCAAAACTGCTTTATCTAAAGAAAGGTTCAACCCTGTGAATTCAACAACTACATCACAAAGTATTTTCTGAGAATGTTTCTGTCTAGTTTTTAGGTGAAGATATTTCTTTTTCCACCATGGGGAAGAAAGCACTCCAAATGAACACTTGCAGATTCTACAAAAAGTGTGTTTCAACACTGCTCTATCAAAAGAAAGTTTCAAGTCTGTGAGTTGAATCCCCACATCACAAAGCAGTTTCTGAGAATGCTTCTGCCTAGTTTTTAGGTGAAGGTATATCCTTTTCCATCTTAGGCCTCAAATCTCTCCAAACATCCACTTGCAGATACTTCAAAAAGACTGTTTCAAAACTGCTCTCAAAAGGAAGGTTCAACTCTGTGAGTTGAATGCACACATCACAACGCAGTGTCTGAGAACGCTTCTGTCTAGTTTGCATGTGAAGATATTTCCTTTTCCATCTTAGGCCTCAAATCGATCCAAATATCCAATTGCAGACACCACAAAAAGACTGCTTCAAAACAGCTCTCGCAAAAGGAAGGTTCAACTCTGTGAGTTGAATGCACACATCACAGAGCAGTTTCTGAGAATGCTTCTGTCTAGTTTGTATGTGAAGATATCCCGTTTACAACAAATTCCTCAAAGAGGCCCCAATAGCAACAAGCAGATTCTACAAAAGCAGTGTTTCAAAACTGCTCTATCAAAAGGAACTTCCAACTCTGCGAATTGAACACACACATCACAAAGCAGTCTCTGAGAATGCTTCTGTCTGGTTTTTAGGTGAAGATATTCCTTTTTCCACCATAGGCAACAGAGCACTCCAAACGAACACATGAAGATTCTACAAAAAGTGTGTTCCAACACTGCTCTATCAAAAGAAAGTTTCAAGTCTGGGAGTCCAATGTACATGTCACAAAGAACGTTCTGTGAATGCTTGGGTCTACTTTTTATGTGAAGATAGCCGTTTCCAAAGAATTCTTCAAAGAGTTCCAGATATCCACAGGCAGATTCTACAAAAGAAGTGTTTCAATACTGCTCTATCAAAAGACGTATTCAACTCAGTTACTTTAATGCACACATCTCAATGAAGTTCCTGAGAAAGCTTCTGTCTAGTTTTTATGTGAAAATATTTCCTTTTCCATCATGGGCCTCAAAGCGCTCAAAATGAACACTTGCAGATACTAGAGAAAGACTGTTTCAAAACTGCTCTATCCAAAGAAAGGTTCCACTCTGTGAGGTGAATGCACACATCACAAAGCAGTTTCTCAGACCGCTTCTGTCTAGTTTGTATGTGAACATATTTCCTTTTCCATCATAGGCCTCAAATCGCTCCAAATATCCACTTGCAGATACTACAAAAAGACTGTTTCAAAACTGCTTTCTCAAAAGAAAGTTTCAACTCTGTGAGTTGAATGCACACATCACAAAGCAGTTTCTGAGAATGCTTCTGTGTAACTTGTATGTGAAGATCTCCCGTATACGCCCAATTCCTAAAAGACCGCCAAATATCCGCAAGCAGATTCTACAAAAGCAGTGTTTCAAATCTGCTCTATCAAAAGAAAGGCTCAACTTTGTGAATTGGACACAAACATCTCAAAGGAGTTTCTGAGAAGGCTTCTTTCTAGTTTCTAGGTGAACATATTCCTTTTTCCACCACAGGCAACAAAGCTCTCCAAATGAACACTTGCAGATTCTATAAAAAGTGTGTTTCAACACTGCTCTATCAAAATAAAGTTTCAAGTCTGTAAGTTTAATGCACACATCACAAAGCAGTTTCTGAGAATGCTTCTGTCTAGTTTGTAGGTGAAGGTATTTCCTTTTCCATCTTAGACCTCAAATCACTAAAAATATCCACTTGCAGATACTACAAAAAGACTGTTTCAAAACCTCTCTCTCAAAAGGAAGGTGCAACTCTGTGAGTTGAATGCACACATCATAAAGCAGTTTCTGAGAATGCTACTTTCTAGTATTTATGTGAAGATATTTCTTTATCCACCATAGGCACAACAGCGTTCCAAATGAACACTTGCAGATCGTACAAAATGTGTGTTTCAACACTGCTCTTTCAAAACAAGGGTTCAAGTCTGTGAGTTGAATGCAGACATCACCAAGCAGCTTCTGAGAGTGCTTCTGTCTAGATTGTATGTGAAGATATTTCCTCTTCCATCTTAGGCCTCAAATCACTACAAACATCCAATTGAAGATACTTCAAAAAGATTGTTTCAAAACGGCTCTCTCAAAAGGAAGGTTCAACTCTGTGAGTTCAATTCACACATCACAAAGTAGTTTCTGAGAATGCTTCTGACTAGTGTGTATGTGAAGATATCCCTTTTACAAAGAATTCCTCCAAGAGCTACAAATATCCACAAGCAGATTCTACAAAACAGGTGGTTCAAAACTGCTCAATCAAAAGAAAGAGTCAACCCTGTGAATTGAACACACACATCACAAAGCAGTTTCTGAGAATGCTTCTGTCTAGTTTGTAAGTGAACATATTTCCTTTTCCATCATAGGCCTCAAATCGCTCCAAATATCCACTTGCAGATACTACAAAAAGACTGTTTCAGAACAGCTTTCTCAAAAGAAAGTTTCAACTCTGTGAGAGGAATGCACACATCACAGAGCAGTTTCTGAGAATGCTTCTGTGTAATTTGTATGTGAAGATATCCCGTATACGCCCAATTCCTCAAAGACCTCCAAATACACGCAAGCAGATTCTACAAAAGCAGTGTTTCAAATCTGCTCTATCAAAAGAAAGGTTCAACTTTGTGAATTGGACACAAACATCTCAAAGGAGTTTCTGAGAAGGCTTCTTTCTAGTTTGTATGTGAACACATTTCTTTTTCCACCACAGGCAACAAAGCTCTCCAAATGAACACTTGCAGATTCTATAAAAAGTGTGTTTCAACACTGCTCTATCAAAATAAGGTTTCAAGTCTGTAAGTTTAATGCACACATCACAAAGCAGTTTCTGAGAATGCTTCTGTCTAGTTTGTAGGTGAAGGTATTTCCTTTTCCATCTTAGACCTCAAATCACCAAAAATATCCACCTGTACATACTACAAAAAGACTGTTTCAAAACGTCTCTCTCAAAAGGAAGGTTCAACTCTGTGAGTTGAATGCACACATCACACAGCAGTTTCTGAGCATGCTTCTGTCTAGTTTGTATGTGAAGATAGTTCCTTTTCCCTCATAGGCCTCAAATCGTTCCAAATATCGACTTGCAGATACCACAAAAAGACTGCTTCAAAACTGTTCTCAGAAGGAAGGTTCAACTCCGTGTGTTGAATGCACACATCAAAAAGCAGTTTCTGAGAATGCTTCTGTCTAGTTTGTATGTGAAGATATAACATTGACAGTGAATTCGTCAAAGAGCTTCAAATATCCAAAAGCAGATTCTAGAAAAGCAGTGTTTCAAAACTGCTCAATCAAAAGAAAGGTTCAACTCTGTGAACTGAACACATATATCACAAAGGAGTTTCGGAGAACGCTTCTTTCTAGTCTTTATGTGAAGATATTTCTTTTTCCACCATAGGCATCAAAGCGCTCCAAATGAACTCTTGCAGATTCTGCATATGTGTGTTTCAACACTGCTCCGTCTAAAGAAATGTTCAAGTCTCTGAGTTGAATGCACCCATCACAAAGCAGTTTCTGAGAATGCTTCTTTCTAGTTTGCATGTGAAGATATTCCCGTTTCCATCTTAAGCCTCACATCGCTCCATATATCCACTTGAGGATACTACAAAAAACTGTTTCAAAACTGCTCTCTCAAAAGGAAGGTTCAACTCTGTGAGCTGAATGCACACATCGCAAAGCAGTTAATGAGATTGCTTCTGTCTAGTTTGTATGTGAGGATATTTCCTTTTCAAACTTAGACTTCCCATCGCTCCAAATATCCACTTGCAGATATTTCAAAGAGACTGTTTAAAAACTGCTCTCTCAGAAGGAAGGTTCAACTCTGTGAGTTGAATGCACACACCACAAAGCAGTTTCTGAGAATGCTTCTGTCTAGTTTGTATGTGAAGATATCCCGTTTACAACGAATTCCTCAAAGAGCTCCAAATATCCACAAGCAGATTCTACAGAAGCAGTGTATCAAAACTGCTCTATCAAAAGAAAGGTTCAACTCTCTGAATAGAACAAACACATCACTAAGGCGTTTCTGAGAATGCTTCTGTCTAGTATTTATGTGAAGATATTTCTTTTTCCACCATAGGCAAAAAAGCGCTCCAAGTGAACACTTGCACATCCTACAAAATGTGTGTTTGAACACTGCTCTTTCAAAAGAAAGGTTGAAGTCTGTGATTGGAATGCACACATCACAAAGCAGTTTCTGAGAATGCTTCTGTCTACTTTGTATGTGAAGATATCCCGTTTACAACAAATTCCTCAAAGAGCTCCAGATATCCACAAGCAGATCCTATAAAAGCGGTGTTTCAAAGCTGCGCTATCAAAGGAATATTTCAATTCTGTGAATTTGACACACACTTCACAAAGGAGTTTCTGAGAATGTTTCTGTCTAGTTTTCATTTGAAGATATTTCTTTTTCCACCGTAGGCAACAAAGCGCACTAAATGAACACTTGCAGATTCTACAAAAGGCGTGTTCCAACACTGATCTCTCAAAAGAAACTTTGAAGTCTGTGAGTTTAAGGCACACATCTCAAAGAACTTTTTGAGAATGCTTGGGTCTCCTTTTTTTGGGAAGATACCAGCTGCCAACGAACTCCTGAAAGATTTCCAAATATCCACAAGCAGATTCTACAAAAGGAGTGTTTCAATTCTGCTCTATCAAAAGGCAGATTCAACTCAGTTACTTGAATGCACACATCTCAGTGAAGTTCCTGAGCATGGCTCTGTCTAGTTTTTTTGTGAAGATATTTCCTTTTCCGCCAAAGGCTTAAAAGCGCTCCAAAATGAACACTCGCAGATCCTACAAAAAGACTGTTTCAGAACTGCTCTATCAAAAGGGACGGTTCCACTCTGTGAGGTAAATGCACACATCACAAAGCAGATTCTGAGAAAGCTTCTGTCTAGTTTTTATGTGAAGATATTTCCTTTTCCATCATAGGCCACAAATCGCTCCAAATATCCACTTGCCGATACTACAAAAAGACTGTTTCAAAACTGCTCTCTCAAAAGGAAGTTTCAACTCTGTGAGTTGAATGCCCACATCACAAAGCAGTTTCTGAGAATGCTTCTGTCTAGTTTGAATGTAAAGATATACCGTTTACAACGAATTCGTCAAAGAGATCCATATATCCACAAGCAGATTCTACCAAAGCAGTGTTTCAAAACAGCTCTTTCAAAGGAAAGGTTCAACTCTGTGAATTGAACGCACAAATCACAAAGGAGTTTCTGAGATTGCTTCTGTCTAGTTTTTACGTGAAGATATTTCTTTTTCAAGCATGGGCAAGAAAGCACTCTAAATGAACACTTGCAGATTCTACAAAATGTGTGTTTCAACCCTGCTCTATCAAAAGAAAGTTTCAAGCCTGTGATTTGAATCCCCACATCACAAAGCAGTTTCTGAGAATGCTTCTGCCTAGTTTTTAGGTGAGGATATATCCTTTTCCATCTTAAGCCTGAAATCCCTCCAAACATCCACTTGCAGATACTTCAAAAAGACTGTTTCAAAACTGCTCTCAAAAGGAAGGTTCAACTCTGTGAGTTGAATGCACACATCACAACGCAGTGTCTGAGAATGCTTCTGTCTAGTTTGTATGTGAAGATATTTCCTTTTCCATCTTAGGCCTCAAATCGATCCAAATATCCAATTGCAGATACCACAAAAAGACTGCTTCAAAACAGCTCTCGCAAAAGGAAGGTTCAACTCTGTGAGTTGAATGCACACATCACAGAGCAGTTTCTGAGAATGCTTCTGCCTACTTTGTATGTGAAGATATCCCGTTTACAACAAATTCCTCAAAGAGCCCCCAATAGCAACAAGCAGATTCTACAAAAGCAGTGTTTCAAAACTGCTCTATCCAAAGCAACTTTCAACTCTGCGAATTGAACACACACATCACAAAGCAGTCTCTGAGAATGCTTCTGTCTGGTTTTTAGGTGAAGATATTCCTTTTTCCACCATAGGCAACAGAGCACTCCAAACGAACACATGAAGATTCTACAAAAAGTGTGTTCCAACACTGCTCTATCAAAAGAAAGTTTCAAGTCTGGGAGTCCAATGTACATGTCACAAAGAACGTTCTGTGAATGCTTGGGTCTACTTTTTATGTGAAGATAGCCGTTTCCAAAGAATTCTTCAAAGAGTTCCAGATATCCACAGGCAGATTCTACAAAAGAAGTGTTTCAATACTGCTCTATCAAAAGACGTATTCAACTCAGTTACTTTAATGCACACATCTCAATGAAGTTCCTGAGAAAGCTTCTGTCTAGTTTTTATGTGAAAATATTTCCTTTTCCATCATGGGCCTCAAAGCGCTCAAAATGAACACTTGCAGATACTAGAGAAAGACTGTTTCAAAACTGCTCTATCCAAAGAAAGGTTCCACTCTGTGAGGTGAATGCACACATCACAAAGCAGTTTCTCAGAACGCTTCTGTCTAGTTTGTATGTGAACATATTTCCTTTTCCATCATAGGCCTCAAATCGCTCCAAATATCCACTTGCAGATACTACAAAAAGACTGTTTCAAAACTGCTTTCTCAAAAGAAAGTTTCAACTCTGTGAGTTGAATGCACACATCACAAAGCAGTTTCTGAGAATGCTTCTGTGTAACTTGTATGTGAAGATCTCCCGTATACGCCCAATTCCTAAAAGACCGCCAAATATCCGCAAGCAGATTCTACAAAAGCAGTGTTTCAAATCTGCTCTATCAAAAGAAAGGTTCAACTTTGTGAATTGGACACAAACATCTCAAAGGAGTTTCTGAGAAGGCTTCTTTCTAGTTTCTAGGTGAACATATTCCTTTTTCCACCACAGGCAACAAAGCTCTCCAAATGAACACTTGCAGATTCTATAAAAAGTGTGTTTCAACACTGCTCTATCAAAATAAAGTTTCAAGTCTGTAAGTTTAATGCACACATCACAAAGCAGTTTCTGAGAATGCTTCTGTCTAGTTTGTATGTGAAGGTATTTCCTTTTCCATCTTAGACCTCAAATCACTAAAAATATCCACTTGCAGATATACAAAAAGACTGTTTCAAAACCTCTCTCTCAAAAGGAAGGTGCAACTCTGTGAGTTGAATGCACACATCACAAAGCAGTTTCTGAGAATGCTACTTTCTAGTATTTATGTGAAGTTATTTCTTTATCCACCATAGGCACAACAGCGTTCCAAATGAACACTTGCAGATCGTACAAAATGTGTGTTTCAACACTGCTCTTTCAAAACAAGGGTTCAAGTCTGTGAGTTGAATGCAGACATCACCAAGCAGCTTCTGAGAGTGCTTCTGTCTAGATTGTATGTGAAGATATTTCCTATTCCATCTTAGGCCTCAAATCACTACAAACATCCAATTGAAGATACTTCAAAAAGATTGTTTCAAAACGGCTCTCTCAAAAGGAAGGTTCAACTCTGTGAGTTCAATTCACACATCACAAAGAAGTTTCTGAGAATGCTTCTGACTAGTGTGTATGTGAAGATATCCCTTTTACAAAGAATTCCTCCAAGAGCTACAAATATCCACAAGCAGATTCTACAAAACAGGTGGTTCAAAACTGCTCAATCAAAAGAAAGAGTCAACCCTGTGAATTGAACACACACATCACAAAGCAGTTTCTGAGAATGCTTCTGTCTAGTTTGTAAGTGAACATATTTCCTTTTCCATCATAGGCCTCAAATCGCTCCAAGTATCCACTTGCAGATACTACAAAAAGACTGTTTCAGAACTGCTTTCTCCAAAGAAAGTTTCAACTCTGTTAGTTGAATGCACACATCACAGAGCAGTTTCTGAGAATGCTTCTGTGTAATTTGTATGTGAAGATATCCCGTATACGCCGAATTCCTCAAAGACCTCCAAATACACGCAAGCAGATTCTACAAAAGCAGTGTTGCAAATCTGCTCTATCAAAAGAAAGGTTCAACTTTGTGAATTAGACACAAACATCTCAAAGGAGTTTCTGAGAAGGCTTCTTTCTAGTTTGTATGTGAACACATTTCTTTTTCCACCACAGGCAACAAAGCTCTCCAAATGAACACTTGCAGGTTCTATAAAAAGTGTGTTTCAACACTGCTATATCAAAATAAGGTTTCAACTCTGTAAGTTTAATGCACACATCACAAAGCAGTTTCTGAGAATGCTTCTGTCTAGTTTGTAGGTGAAGGTATTTCCTTTTCCATATTAGACCTCAAATCACTAAAAATATCCACTTGTATATACTACAAAAAGACTGTTTCAAAACCTCTCTCTCAAAAGGAAGGCTCAACTCTGTGAGTTGAATGCACACATCACAAAGCAGTTTCTGAGTATGCTTCTGTCTAGCTTGTATGTGAAGATAGTTCCTTTTCCCTCATAGGTCCCAAATCGTTCCAAATATCGACTTGCAGGTACCACAAAAAGACTGCTTCAAAACTGTTCTCAGAAGGAAGGTTCAACTCCGTGTGTTGAATGCACACATCAAAAAGCAGTTTCTCAGAATGCTTCTGTCTAGTTTGTATGTGAAGATATAACATTGACAGCGAATTCGTCAAAGAGCTTCAAATATCCAAAAGCAGATTCTAGAAAAGCAGTGTTTCAAAACTGCTCAATCAAAAGAAAGGTTCAACTCTGTGAACTGAACACATATATCACAAAGGAGTTTCGGAGAACGCTTCTTTCTAGTCTTTATGTGAAGATATTTCTTTTTCCACCATAGGCATCAAAGCGCTCCAAATGAACTCTTGCAGATTCTGCATATGTGTGTTTCAACACTGCTCCGTCTAAAGAAATGTTCAAGTCTCTGAGTTGAATGCACCCATCACAAAGCAGTTTCTGAGAATGCTTCTTTCTAGTTTGCATGTGAAGATATTCCCGTTTCCATCTTAAGCCTCACATCGCTCCATATATCCACTTGAGGATACTACAAAAAACTGTTTCAAAACTGCTCTCTCAAAAGGAAGGTTCAACTCTGTGAGCTGAATGCACACATCGCAAAGCAGTTAATGAGATTGCTTCTGTCTAGTTTGTATGTGAGGATATTTCCTTTTCAATCTTAGACTTCCCATCGCTCCAAATATCCACTTGCAGATATTTCAAAGAGACTGTTTAAAAACTGCTATCTCAGAAGGAAGGTTCACCTCTGTGAGTTGAATGCACACACCACAAAGCAGTTTCTGAGAATGGCTTCTGTCTAGTTTGTATGTGAAGATATCCCTTTTACAACGAATTCCTCAAAGAGCTCCAAATATCCACAAGCAGATTCTACAAAAGGAGTGTTTCAATTCTGCTCTATCAAAATAAAGGTTCAACTCTCTGAATAGAACAAACACATCACAAAGGAGTTTCTGAGAATGCTTCTGTCTAGTATTTATGTGAAGATATTTCTTTTTCCACCATAGGCAAAAAAGTGCTCCAAGTGAACACTTGCACAGGCTACAAAATGTGTGTTTGAACACTGCTCTTTCAAAAGAAAGGTTGAAGTCTGTGATTGGAATGCACACATCACAAAGCAGTTTCTGAGAATGCTTCTGTCTACTTTGTATGTGAAGATATCCCGTTTACAACAAATTCCTCAAAGAGCTCCAGATATCCACAAGCAGATCCTATAAAAGCGGTGTTTCAAAGCTGCGCTATCAAAGGAATATTTCAATTCTGTGAATTTGACACACACTTCACAAAGGAGTTTCTGAGAATGTTTCTGTCTAGTTTTCATTTGAAGATATTTCTTTTTCCACCATAGGCAACAAAGCGCACTAAATGAACACTTGCAGATTCTACAAAAAGCGTGTTCCAACACTGATCTCTCAAAAGAAAGTTTGAAGTCTGTGAGTTTAAGGCACACATCTCAAGGAACTTTTTGAGAATCCTTGGGTCTCCTTTTTTTGTGAAGATACCAGCTGCCAACGAACTCCTGAAAGAGTTCCAAATATCCACAAGCAGATTCTACAAAAGGAGTGTTTCAATTCTGCTCTATCAAAAGGCAGATTCAACTCAGTTACTTGAATGCACACATCTCAGTGAAGTTCCTGAGCATGCCTCTGTCTAGTTTTTTTGTGAAGATATTTCCTTTTCCGCCAAAGGCTTAAAAGCGCTCCAAAATGAACACTCGCAGATCCTACAAAAAGACTGTTTCAGAACTGCTCTATCAAAAGGACGGTTCCACTCTGTGAGGTAAATGCACACATCACAAAGCAGATTCTGAGAAAGCTTCTGTCAAGTTTGGCCGTGAAGATATTTCCTTTTCAATCTTAGTCCTCCCATTGCTCCAAGTATCCACTTGTAGAGAATACAAAAAGATTGTTTCAAAACTGCTCTCTCAAAAGGAAGGTTCAACTCTGTGAGTAGAATGCACACATCACAAACCAGTTTCTGAGAATGCTTCTGACTAGTTTGAATGTGAAGATATCCCGTTTAAAACGAATTCCTCAAACAGCTCCAAATATCCACAAGAAGATTCTACAAAAGCAGTGTTTCAAAACTGCTTTATCTAAAGAAAGGTTCAACCCTGTGAATTGAACAACCACATCACAAAGTATTTTCTGAGAATGTTTCTGTCTAGTTTTTACGTGAAGATATTTCTTTTTCCACCATGGGCAAGAAAGCACTCCAAATGAACACTTGCAGATTCTACAAAAAGTGTGTTTCAACCCTGCTCTATCAAAAGAAAGTTTCAAGCCTGTGAGTTGAATCCCCACATCACAAAGCAGTTTCTGAGAATGCTTCTGCCTAGTTTTTAGGTGAAGATATATCCTTTTCCATCTTAGGCCTCAAATCTCTCCAAACATCCACTTGCAGATACTTCAAAAAGACTGTTTCAAAACTGCTCTCAAAAGGAAGGTTCAACTCTGTGAGTTGAATGCACACATCACAACGCAGTGTCTGAGAATGCTTCTGTCTAGTTTGTATGTGAAGATATTTCCTTTTCCATCTTAGGCCTCAAATCGATCCAAATATCCAATTGCAGATACCACAAAAAGACTGCTTCAAAACAGCTCTCGCAAAAGGAAAGTTCAACTCTGTGAGTTGAATGCACACATCACAGAGCAGTTTCTGAGAATGCTTCTGTCTACTTTGTATGTGAAGATATCCCGTTTACAACAAATTCCTCAAAGAGCCCCCAATAGCAACAAGCAGATTCTACAAAAGCAGTGTTTCAAAACTGCTCTATCAAAAGCAACTTTCAACTCTGCGAATTGAACACACACATCACAAAGCAGTCTCTGAGAATGCTTCTGTCTGGTTTGTAGGTGAAGATATTCCTTTTTCCACCATGGGCAACAAAGCACTCCAAACGAACACATGAAGATTCTACAAAAAGTGTGTTCCAACACTGCTCTATCAAAAGAAAGGTTCAAGTCTGGGAGTCCAATGTACATATCACAAAGAACTGTCTGAGAATGCTTGGGTCTACTTTTTATGTGAAGATAGCCGTTTCCAAAGAATTCTTCAAAGAGTTCCAGATATCCACAGGCAGATTCTACAAAAGAAGTGTTTCAATACTGCTCTATCAAAAGACGTATTCCACTCAGTTACTTTCATGCACACATCTCAATGAAGTTCCTGAGAAAGCTTCTGTCTAGTTTTTATGTGAAAATATTTCCTTTTCCATCATGGGCCTCAAAGCGCTCAAAATGAACACTTGCAGATACTAGAGAAAGACTGTTTCAAAACTGCTCTATCCAAAGAACGGTTCCACTCTGTGAGGTGAATGCACACATCACAAAGCAGTTTCTGAGAACGCTTCTGTCTAGTTTGTATGTGAAGGTATTTCCTTTTCCATCTTAGACCTCAAATCACTAAAAATATCCACTTGCAGATACTACAAAAAGACTGTTTCAAAACCTCTCTCTCAAAAGGAAGGTGCAACTCTGTGAGTTGAATGCACACATCACAAAGCAGTTTCTGAGAATGCTTCTGTGTAACTTGTATGTGAAGATCTCCCGTATACGCCCAATTCCTAAAAGACCGCCAAATATCCGCAAGCAGATTCTACAAAAGCAGTGTTTCAAATCTGCTCTATCAAAAGAAAGGTTCAACTTTGTGAATTGGACACAAACATCTCAAAGGAGTTTCTGAGAAGGCTTCTTTCTAGTTTCTAGGTGAACATATTCCTTTTTCCACCACAGGCAACAAAGCTCTCCAAATGAACACTTGCAGATTCTATAAAAAGTGTGTTTCAACACTGCTCTATCAAAATAAAGTTTCAAGTCTGTAAGTTTAATGCACACATCACAAAGCAGTTTCTGAGAATGCTTCTGTCTAGTTTGTAGGTGAAGGTATTTCCTTTTCCATCTTAGACCTCAAATCACCAAAAATATCCACCTGTACATACTACAAAAAGACTGTTTCAAAACCTCTCTCTCAAAAGGAAGGTGAAACTCTGTGAGTTGAATGCACACATCACACAGCAGTTTCTGAGCATGCTTCTGTCTAGTTTGTATGTGAAGATATTTCTTTATCCACCATAGGCACAACAGCGTTCCAAATGAACACTTGCAGATCGTACAAAATGTGTGTTTCAACACTGCTCTTTCAAAACAAGGGTTCAAGTCTGTGAGTTGAATGCAGACATCACCAAGCAGCTTCTGAGAGTGCTTCTGTCTAGATTGTATGTGAAGATATTTCCTATTCCATCTTAGGCCTCAAATCACTACAAACATCCAATTGAAGATACTTCAAAAAGATTGTTTCAAAACGGCTCTCTCAAAAGGAAGGTTCAACTCTGTGAGTTCAATTCACACATCACAAAGAAGTTTCTGAGAATGCTTCTGACTAGTGTGTATGTGAAGATATCCCTTTTACAAAGAATTCCTCCAAGAGCTACAAATATCCACAAGCAGATTCTACAAAACAGGTGGTTCAAAACTGCTCAATCAAAAGAAAGAGTCAACCCTGTGAATTGAACACACACATCACAAAGCAGTTTCTGAGAATGCTTCTGTCTAGTTTGTAAGTGAACATATTTCCTTTTCCATCATAGGCCTCAAATCGCTCCAAGTATCCACTTGCAGATACTAC
Organism: Homo sapiens; assembly: GCF_000001405.40. Lineage (NCBI taxonomy): Eukaryota > Metazoa > Chordata > Mammalia > Primates > Hominidae > Homo > Homo sapiens. The sequence goes on along the minus strand of NC_000005.10, from coordinate 46,905,147 downwards.
AAAAAGACTGTTTCAGAACTGCTTTCTCCAAAGAAAGTTTCAACTCTGTTAGTTGAATGCACACATCACAGAGCAGTTTCTGAGAATGCTTCTGTGTAATTTGTATGTGAAGATATCCCATATACGCCCAATTCCTCAAAGACCTCCAAATACACGCAAGCAGATTCTACAAAAGCAGTGTTTCAAATCTGCTCTATCAAAAGAAAGGTTCAACTTTGTGAATTAGACAAAAACATCTCAAAGGAGTTTCTGAGAAGGCTTCTTTCTAGTTTGTATGTGAACACATTTCTTTTTCCACCACAGGCAACAAAGCTCTCCAAATGAACACTTGCAGATTCTATAAAAAGTGTGTTTCAACACTGCTCTATCAAAATAAGGTTTCAAGTCTGTAAGTTTAATGCACACATCACAAAGCAGTTTCTGAGAATGCTTCTGTCTAGTTTGTATGTGAAGGTATTTCCTTTTCCATCTTAGACCTCAAAGCACCAAAAATATCCACCTGTACATACTACAAAAAGACTGTTTCAAAACGTCTCTCTCAAAAGGAAGGTTCAACTCTGTGAGTTGAATGCACACATCACACAGCAGTTTCTGAGCATGCTTCTGTCTAGTTTGTATGTGAAGATAGTTCCTTTTCCCTCATAGGCCTCAAATCGTTCCAAATATCGACTTGCAGATACTACAAAAAGACTGTTTGAAAACCGTTCTCTCAGAAGGAAGGTTCAACTCCGTGTGTTGAATGCACACATCACAAAGCAGTTTCTGAGAATGCTTCTGTCTAGCTTGTATGTGAAGATAGTTCCTTTTCCCTCATAGGTCCCAAATCGTTCCAAATATCGACTTGCAGATACCACAAAAAGACTGCTTCAAAACTGTTCTCAGAAGGAAGGTTCAACTCCGTGTGTTGAATGCACACATCAAAAAGCAGTTTCTGAGAATGCTTCTGTCTAGTTTGTATGTGAAGATATAACATTGACAGTGAATTCGTCAAAGAGCTTCAAATATCCAAAAGCAGATTCTAGAAAAGCAGTGTTTCAAAACTGCTCAATCAAAAGAAAGGTTCAACTCTGTGAACTGAACACATATATCACAAAGGAGTTTCGGAGAACGCTTCTTTCTAGTCTTTATGTGAAGATATTTCTTTTTCCACCATAGGCATCAAAGCGCTCCAAATGAACTCTTGCAGATTCTGCATATGTGTGTTTCAACACTGCTCCGTCTAAAGAAATGTTCAAGTCTCTGAGTTGAATGCACCCATCACAAAGCAGTTTCTGAGAATGCTTCTTTCTAGTTTGCATGTAAAGATATTCCCGTTTCCAAATTAAGCCTCACATCGCTCCATATATCCACTTGAGGATACTACAAAAAACTGTTTCAAAACTGCTCTCTCAAAAGGAAGGTTCAACTCTGTGAGCTGAATGCACACATCGCAAAGCAGTTAATGAGATTGCTTCTGTCTAGTTTGTATGTGAGGATATTTCCTTTTCAAACTTAGACTTCCCATCGCTCCAAATATCCACTTGCAGATATTTCAAAGAGACTGTTTAAAAACTGCTCTCTCAGAAGGAAGGTTCAACTCTGTGAGTTGAATGCACACACCACAAAGCAGTTTCTGAGAATGCTTCTGTCTAGTTTGTATGTGAAGATATCCCGTTTACAACGAATTCCTCAAAGAGCTCCAAATATCCACAAGCAGATTCTACAGAAGCAGTGTATCAAAACTGCTCTATCAAAAGAAAGGTTCAACTCTCTGAATAGAACAAACACATCACTAAGGCGTTTCTGAGAATGCTTCTGTCTAGTATTTATGTGAAGATATTTCTTTTTCCACCATAGGCAAAAAAGCGCTCCAAGTGAACACTTGCACATCCTACAAAATGTGTGTTTGAACACTGCTCTTTCAAAAGAAAGGTTGAAGTCTGTGATTGGAATGCACACATCACAAAGCAGTTTCTGAGAATGCTTCTGTCTACTTTGTATGTGAAGATATCCCGTTTACAACAAATTCCTCAAAGAGCTCCAGATATCCACAAGCAGATCCTATAAAAGCGGTGTTTCAAAGCTGCGCTATCAAAGGAATATTTCAATTCTGTGAATTTGACACACACTTCACAAAGGAGTTTCTGAGAATGTTTCTGTCTAGTTTTCATTTGAAGATATTTCTTTTTCCACCATAGGCAACAAAGCACACTAAATGAACACTTGCAGATTCTACAAAAAGCGTGTTCCAACACTGATCTCTCAAAAGAAAGTTTGAAGTCTGTGAGTTTAAGGCACACATCTCAAGGAACTTTTTGAGAATCCTTGGGTCTCCTTTTTTTGTGAAGATACCAGCTGCCAACGAACTCCTGAAAGAGTTCCAAATATCCACAAGCAGATTCTACAAAAGGAGTGTTTCAATTCTGCTCTATCAAAAGGCAGATTCAACTCAGTTACTTGAATGCACACATCTCAGTGAAGTTCCTGAGCATGCCTCTGTCTAGTTTTTTTGTGAAGATATTTCCTTTTCCGCCAAAGGCTTAAAAGCGCTCCAAAATGAACACTCGCAGATCCTACAAAAAGACTGTTTCAGAACTGCTCTATCAAAAGGACGGTTCCACTCTGTGAGGTAAATGCACACATCACAAAGCAGATTCTGAGAAAGCTTCTGTCAAGTTTGGCCGTGAAGATATTTCCTTTTCAATCTTAGTCCTCCCATTGCTCCAAGTATCCACTTGTAGAGAATACAAAAAGATTGTTTCAAAACTGCTCTCTCAAAAGGAAGGTTCAACTCTGTGAGTAGAATGCACACATCACAAACCAGTTTCTGAGAATGCTTCTGACTAGTTTGAATGTGAAGATATCCCGTTTAAAACGAATTCCTCAAACAGCTCCAAATATCCACAAGAAGATTCTACAAAAGCAGTGTTTCAAAACTGCTTTATCTAAAGAAAGGTTCAACCCTGTGAATTGAACAACCACATCACAAAGTATTTTCTGAGAATGTTTCTGTCTAGTTTTTACGTGAAGATATTTCTTTTTCCACCATGGGCAAGAAAGCACTCCAAATGAACACTTGCAGATTCTACAAAAAGTGTGTTTGAACCCTGCTCTATCAAAAGAAAGTTTCAAGCCTGTGAGTTGAATCCCCACATCACAAAGCAGTTTCTGAGAATGCTTCTGCCTAGTTTTTAGGTGAAGATATATCCTTTTCCATCTTGGGCCTCAAATCTCTCCAAACATCCACTTGCAGATACTTCAAAAAGACTGTTTCAAAACTGCTCTCAAAAGGAAGGTTCAACTCTGTGAGTTGAATGCACACATCACAACGCAGTGTCTGAGAATGCTTCTGTCTAGTTTGTATGTGAAGATATTTCCTTTTCCATCTTAGGCCTCAAATCGATCCAAATATCCAATTGCAGATACCACAAAAAGACTGCTTCAAAACAGCTCTCGCAAAAGGAAGGTTCAACTCTGTGAGTTGAATGCACACATCACAGAGCAGTTTCTGAGAATGCTTCTGTCTACTTTGTATGTGAAGATATCCCGTTTACAACAAATTCCTCAAAGAGCCCCCAATAGCAACAAGCAGATTCTACAAAAGCAGTGTTTCAAAACTGCTCTATCAAAAGCAACTTTCAACTCTGCGAATTGAACACACACATCACAAAGCAGTCTCTGAGAATGCTTCTGTCTGGTTTTTAGGTGAAGATATTCCTTTTTCCACCATAGGCAACAGAGCACTCCAAACGAACACATGAAGATTCTACAAAAAGTGTGTTCCAACACTGCTCTATCAAAAGAAAGTTTCAAGTCTGGGAGTCCAATGTACATGTCACAAAGAACGTTCTGTGAATGCTTGGGTCTACTTTTTATGTGAAGATAGCCGTTTCCAAAGAATTCTTCAAAGAGTTCCAGATATCCACAGGCAGATTCTACAAAAGAAGTGTTTCAATACTGCTCTATCAAAAGACGTATTCAACTCAGTTACTTTAATGCACACATCTCAATGAAGTTCCTGAGAAAGCTTCTGTCTAGTTTTTATGTGAAAATATTTCCTTTTCCATCATGGGCCTCAAAGCGCTCAAAATGAACACTTGCAGATACTAGAGAAAGACTGTTTCAAAACTGCTCTATCCAAAGAAAGGTTCCACTCTGTGAGGTGAATGCACACATCACAAAGCAGTTTCTCAGAACGCTTCTGTCTAGTTTGTATGTGAACATATTTCCTTTTCCATCATAGGCCTCAAATCGCTCCAAATATCCACTTGCAGATACTACAAAAAGACTGTTTCAAAACTGCTTTCTCAAAAGAAAGTTTCAACTGCTGTGAGTTGAATGCACACATCACAAAGCAGTTTCTGAGAATGCTTCTTTCTAGTGTTTATGTGAAGATATTTCTTTTTCCACCATAGGCATCAAAGCGCTCCAAATGAACTCTTGCAGATTCTACAAATGTGTGTTTCAACACTGCTCCGTCTAAAGAAATGTTCAAGTCTCTGAGTTGAATGCACCCATCACAAAGCAGTTTCTGAGAATGCTTCTGTCTAGTTTTTACGTGAAGATATTTCTTTTTCCACCATGGGCAAGGAAAGCACTCCAAATGAACACTTGCAGATTCTACAAAAAGTGTGTTTCAACCCTGCTCTATCAAAAGAAAGTTTCAAGCCTGTGAGTCGAATCCTCACATCACAAAGCAGTTTCTGAGAATGCTTCTGTCTAGTTTTTATGTGAAGATATTTCCTTTTCCATCATAGGCCACAAATCGCTCCAAATATCCACTTGCCGATACTACAAAAAGACTGTTTCAAAACTGCTCTCTCAAAAGGAAGTTTCAACTCTGTGAGTTGAATGCCCACATCACGAAGCAGTTTCTGAGAATGCTTCTGTGTAATTTGTATGTGAAGATATCCCGTATACGCCCAATTCCTCAAAGACCTCCAAATACACGCAAGCAGATTCTACAAAAGCAGTGTTTCAAATCTGCTCTATCAAAAGAAAGGTTCAACTTTGTGAATTGGACACAAACATCTCAAAGGAGTTTCTGAGAAGGCTTCTTTCTAGTTTGTATGTGAACACATTTCTTTTTCCACCACAGGCAACAAAGCTCTCCAAATGAACACTTGCAGATTCTATAAAAAGTGTGTTTCAACACTGCTCTATCAAAATAAGGTTTCAAGTCTGTAAGTTTAATGCACACATCACAAAGCAGTTTCTGAGAATGCTTCTGTCTAGTTTGTAGGTGAAGGTATTTCCTTTTCCATCTTAGACCTCAAATCACCAAAAATATCCACCTGTACATACTACAAAAAGACTGTTTCAAAACGTCTCTCTCAAAAGGAAGGTTCAACTCTGTGAGTTGAATGCACACATCACACAGCAGTTTCTGAGCATGCTTCTGTCTAGTTTGTATGTGAAGATAGTTCCTTTTCCCTCATAGGCCTCAAAGCGTTCCAAATATCGACTTGCAGATACTACAAAAAGACTGTTTGAAAACTGTTCTCTCAGAAGGAAGGTTCAACTCCGTGTGTTGAATGCACATATCACAAAGCAGTTTCTGAGAATGCTTCTGTCTAGCTTGTACGTGAAGATAGTTCCTTTTCCCTCATAGGTCCCAAATCGTTCCAAATATCGACTTGCAGATACCACAAAAAGACTGCTTCAAAACTGTTCTCAGAAGGAAGGTTCAACTCCGTGTGTTGAATGCACACATCAAAAAGCAGTTTCTGAGAATGCTTCTGTCTAGTTTGTATGTGAAGATATAACATTGACAGTGAATTCGTCAAAGAGCTTCAAATATCCAAAAGCAGATTCTAGAAAAGCAGTGTTTCAAAACTGCTCAATCAAAAGAAAGGTTCAACTCTGTGAACTGAACACATATATCACAAAGGAGTTTCGGAGAACGCTTCTTTCTAGTCTTTATGTGAAGATATTTCTTTTTCCACCATAGGCATCAAAGCGCTCCAAATGAACTCTTGCAGATTCTGCATATGTGTGTTTCAACACTGCTCCGTCTAAAGAAATGTTCAAGTCTCTGAGTTGAATGCACCCATCACAAAGCAGTTTCTGAGAATGCTTCTTTCTAGTTTGTATGTGAAGATATTCCCGTTTCCATCTTAAGCCTCACATCGCTCCATATATCCACTTGAGGATACTACAAAAAACTGTTTCAAAACTGCTCTCTCAAAAGGAAGGTTCAACTCTGTGAGCTGAATGCACACATCGCAAAGCAGTTAATGAGATTGCTTCTGTCTAGTTTGTATGTGAGGGTATTTCCTTTTCAAACTTAGACTTCCCATCGCTCCAAATATCCACTTGCAGATATTTCAAAGAGACTGTTTAAAAACTGCTCTCTCAGAAGGAAGGTTCAACTCTGTGAGTTGAATGCACACACCACAAAGCAGTTTCTGAGAATGCTTCTGTCTAGTTTGTATGTGAAGATATCCCGTTTACAACGAATTCCTCAAAGAGCTCCAAATATCCACAAGCAGATTCTACAGAAGCAGTGTATCAAAACTGCTCTATCAAAAGAAAGGTTCAACTCTCTGAATAGAACAAACACATCACTAAGGCGTTTCTGAGAATGCTTCTGTCTAGTATTTATGTGAAGATATTTCTTTTTCCACCATAGGCAAAAAAGCGCTCCAAGTGAACACTTGCACATCCTACAAAATGTGTGTTTGAACACTGCTCTTTCAAAAGAAAGGTTGAAGTCTGTGATTGGAATGCACACATCACAAAGCAGTTTCTGAGAATGCTTCTGTCTACTTTGTATGTGAAGATATCCCGTTTACAACAAATTCCTCAAAGAGCTCCAGATATCCACAAGCAGATCCTATAAAAGCGGTGTTTCAAAGCTGCGCTATCAAAGGAATATTTCAATTCTGTGAATTTGACACACACTTCACAAAGGAGTTTCTGAGAATGTTTCTGTCTAGTTTTCATTTGAAGATATTTCTTTTTCCACCATAGGCAACAAAGCGCACTAAATGAACACTTGCAGATTCTACAAAAAGCGTGTTCCAACACTGGTCTCTCAAAAGAAAGTTTGAAGTCTGTGAGTTTAAGGCAGACATCTCAAGGAACTTTTTGAGAATCCTTGGGTCTCCTTTTTTTGTGAAGATACCAGCTGCCAACGAACTCCTGAAAGAGTTCCAAATATCCACAAGCAGATTCTACAAAAGGAGTGTTTCAATTCTGCTCTATCAAAAGGCAGATTCAACTCAGTTACTTGAATGCACACATCTCAGTGAAGTTCCTGAGCATGCCTCTGTCTAGTTTTTTTGTGAAGATATTTCCTTTTCCGCCAAAGGCTTAAAAGCGCTCCAAAATGAACACTCGCAGATCCTACAAAAAGACTGTTTCAGAACTGCTCTATCAAAAGGACGGTTCCACTCTGTGAGGTAAATGCACACATCACAAAGCAGATTCTGAGAAAGCTTCTGTCAAGTTTGGCCGTGAAGATATTTCCTTTTCAATCTTAGTCCTCCCATTGCTCCAAGTATCCACTTGTAGAGAATACAAAAAGATTGTTTCAAAACTGCTCTCTCAAAAGGAAGGTTCAACTCTGTGAGTAGAATGCACACATCACAAACCAGTTTCTGAGAATGCTTCTGACTAGTTTGAATGTGAAGATGTCCCGTTTAAAACGAATTCCTCAAACAGCTCCAAATATCCACAAGAAGATTCTACAAAAGCAGTGTTTCAAAACTGCTTTATCTAAAGAAAGGTTCAACCCTGTGAATTGAACAACCACATCACAAAGTATTTTCTGAGAATGTTTCTGTCTAGTTTTTACGTGAAGATATTTCTTTTTCCACCATGGGCAAGAAAGCACTCCAAATGAACACTTGCAGATTCTACAAAAATGTGTTTGAACCCTGCTCTATCAAAAGAAAGTTTCAAGCCTGTGAGTTGAATCCCCACATCACAAAGCAGTTTCTGAGAATGCTTCTGCCTAGTTTTTAGGTGAAGATATATCCTTTTCCATCTTAGGCCTCAAATCTCTCCAAACATCCACTTGCAGATACTTCAAAAAGACTGTTTCAAAACTGCTCTCAAAAGGAAGGTTCAACTCTGTGAGTTGAATGCACACATCACAACGCAGTGTCTGAGAATGCTTCTGTCTAGTTTGTATGTGAAGATATTTCCTTTTCCATCTTAGGCCTCAAATCGATCCAAATATCCAATTGCAGATACCACAAAAAGACTGCTTCAAAACAGCTCTCGCAAAAGGAAGGTTCAACTCTGTGAGTTGAATGCACCCATCACAGAGCAGTTTCTGAGAATGCTTCTGTCTACTTTGTATGTGAAGATATCCCGTTTACAACAAATTCCTCAAAGAGCCCCCAATAGCAACAAGCAGATTCTACAAAAGCAGTGTTTCAAAACTGCTCTATCCAAAGCAACTTTCAACTCTGCGAATTGAACACACACATCACAAAGCAGTCTCTGAGAATGCTTCTGTCTGGTTTTTAGGTGAAGATATTCCTTTTTCCACCATAGGCAACAGAGCACTCCAAACGAACACATGAAGATTCTACAAAAAGTGTGTTCCAACACTGCTCTATCAAAAGAAAGTTTCAAGTCTGGGAGTCCAATGTACATGTCACAAAGAACGTTCTGTGAATGCTTGGGTCTACTTTTTATGTGAAGATAGCCGTTTCCAAAGAATTCTTCAAAGAGTTCCAGATATCCACAGGCAGATTCTACAAAAGAAGTGTTTCAATACTGCTCTATCAAAAGACGTATTCAACTCAGTTACTTTAATGCACACATCTCAATGAAGTTCCTGAGAAAGCTTCTGTCTAGTTTTTATGTGAAAATATTTCCTTTTCCATCATGGGCCTCAAAGCGCTCAAAATGAACACTTGCAGATACTAGAGAAAGACTGTTTCAAAACTGCTCTATCCAAAGAAAGGTTCCACTCTGTGAGGTGAATGCACACATCACAAAGCAGTTTCTCAGAACGCTTCTGTCTAGTTTGTATGTGAACATATTTCCTTTTCCATCATAGGCCTCAAATCGCTCCAAATATCCACTTGCAGATACTACAAAAAGACTGTTTCAAAACTGCTTTCTCAAAAGAAAGTTTCAACTCTGTGAGTTGAATGCACACATCACAAAGCAGTTTCTGAGAATGCTTCTGTGTAACTTGTATGTGAAGATCTCCCGTATACGCCCAATTCCTAAAAGACCGCCAAATATCCGCAAGCAGATTCTACAAAAGCAGTGTTTCAAATCTGCTCTATCAAAAGAAAGGTTCAACTTTGTGAATTGGACACAAACATCTCAAAGGAGTTTCTGAGAAGGCTTCTTTCTAGTTTCTAGGTGAACATATTCCTTTTTCCACCACAGGCAACAAAGCTCTCCAAATGAACACTTGCAGATTCTATAAAAAGTGTGTTTCAACACTGCTCTATCAAAATAAAGTTTCAAGTCTGTAAGTTTAATGCACACATCACAAAGCAGTTTCTGAGAATGCTTCTGTCTAGTTTGTAGGTGAAGGTATTTCCTTTTCCATCTTACACCTCAAATCACTAAAAATATCCACTTGCAGATACTACAAAAAGACTGTTTCAAAATCTCTCTCTCAAAAGGAAGGTTCAACTCTGTGAGTTGAATGCACACATCACAAAGCAGTTTCTGAGAATGCTTCTGTCTAGCTTGTATGTGAAGATAGTTCCTTTTCCCTCATAGGTCCCAAATCGTTCCAAATATCGACTTGCAGATACCACAAAAAGACTGCTTCAAAACTGTTCTCAGAAGGAAGGTTCAACTCCGTGTGTTGAATGCACACATCAAAAAGCAGTTTCTGAGAATGCTTCTGTCTAGTTTGTATGTGAAGATATAACATTGACAGCGAATTCGTCAAAGAGCTTCAAATATCCAAAAGCAGATTCTAGAAAAGCAGTGTTTCAAAACTGCTCAATCAAAAGAAAGGTTCAACTCTGTGAACTGAACACATATATCACAAAGGAGTTTCGGAGAACGCTTCTTTCTAGTCTTTATGTGAAGATATTTCTTTTTCCACCATAGGCATCAAAGCGCTCCAAATGAACTCTTGCAGATTCTGCATATGTGTGTTTCAACACTGCTCCGTCTAAAGAAATGTTCAAGTCTCTGAGTTGAATGCACCCATCACAAAGCAGTTTCTGAGAATGCTTCTTTCTAGTTTGCATGTGAAGATATTCCCGTTTCCATCTTAAGCCTCACATCGCTCCATATATCCACTTGAGGATACTACAAAAAACTGTTTCAAAACTGCTCTCTCAAAAGGAAGGTTCAACTCTGTGAGCTGAATGCACACATCGCAAAGCAGTTAATGAGATTGCTTCTGTCTAGTTTGTATGTGAGGATATTTCCTTTTCAAACTTAGACTTCCCATCGCTCCAAATATCCACTTGCAGATATTTCAAAGAGACTGTTTAAAAACTGCTCTCTCAGAAGGAAGGTTCAACTCTGTGAGTTGAATGCACACACCACAAAGCAGTTTCTGAGAATGCTTCTGTCTAGTTTGTATGTGAAGATATCCCGTTTACAACGAATTCCTCAAAGAGCTCCAAATATCCACAAGCAGATTCTACAGAAGCAGTGTATCAAAACTGCTCTATCAAAAGAAAGGTTCAACTCTCTGAATAGAACAAACACATCACTAAGGCGTTTCTGAGAATGCTTCTGTCTAGTATTTATGTGAAGATATTTCTTTTTCCACCATAGGCAAAAAAGCGCTCCAAGTGAACACTTGCACATCCTACAAAATGTGTGTTTGAACACTGCTCTTTCAAAAGAAAGGTTGAAGTCTGTGATTGGAATGCACACATCACAAAGCAGTTTCTGAGAATGCTTCTGTCTACTTTGTATGTGAAGATATCCCGTTTACAACAAATTCCTCAAAGAGCTCCAGATATCCACAAGCAGATCCTATAAAAGCGGTGTTTCAAAGCTGCGCTATCAAAGGAATATTTCAATTCTGTGAATTTGACACACACTTCACAAAGGAGTTTCTGAGAATGTTTCTGTCTAGTTTTCATTTGAAGATATTTCTTTTTCCACCATAGGCAACAAAGCGCACTAAATGAACACTTGCAGATTCTACAAAAAGCGTGTTCCAACACTGATCTCTCAAAAGAAAGTTTGAAGTCTGTGAGTTTAAGGCACACATCTCAAGGAACTTTTTGAGAATCCTTGGGTCTCCTTTTTTTGTGAAGATACCAGCTGCCAACGAACTCCTGAAAGAGTTCCAAATATCCACAAGCAGATTCTACAAAAGGAGTGTTTCAATTCTGCTCTATCAAAAGGCAGATTCAACTCAGTTACTTGAATGCACACATCTCAGTGAAGTTCCTGAGCATGCCTCTGTCTAGTTTTTTTGTGAAGATATTTCCTTTTCCGCCAAAGGCTTAAAAGCGCTCCAAAATGAACACTCGCAGATCCTACAAAAAGACTGTTTCAGAACTGCTCTATCAAAAGGACGGTTCCACTCTGTGAGGTAAATGCACACATCACAAAGCAGATTCTGAGAAAGCTTCTGTCAAGTTTGGCCGTGAAGATATTTCCTTTTCAATCTTAGTCCTCCCATTGCTCCAAGTATCCACTTGTAGAGAATACAAAAAGATTGTTTCAAAACTGCTCTCTCAAAAGGAAGGTTCAACTCTGTGAGTAGAATGCACACATCACAAACCAGTTTCTGAGAATGCTTCTGACTAGATTGAATATGAAGGTATCCCGTTTAAAACGAATTCCTCAAACAGCTCCAAATATCCACAAGAAGATTCTACAAAAGCAGTGTTTCAAAACTCCTTTATCTAAAGAAAGGTTCAACCCTGTGAATTGAACAACTACATCACAAAGTATTTTCTGAGAATGTTTCTGTCTAGTTTTTACGTGAAGATATTTCTTTTTCCATCATGGGCAAGAAAGCACTCCAAATGAACACTTGCAGATTCTACGAAAAGTGTGTTTCAAACCTGCTCTATCAAAAGAAAATTTCAAGCCTGTGAGTTGAATCCCCACATCACAAAGCAGTTTCTGAGAATGCTTCTGCCTAGTTTTTAGATGAAGATATATCCTTTTCCATCTTAGGCCTCAAATCTCTCCAAACATCCACTTGCAGATACTTCAAAAAGACTGTTTCAAAACTGCTCTCAAAAGGAAGGCTCAACTCTGTGAGTTGAATGCACACATCACAGAGCAGTTTGTGAGAATGCTTCTGTCTAGTTTGTATGTGGAGATATTTCCTTTTCCATCTTAGGCCTCAAATCGATCCAAATATCCAATTGCAGATACCACAAAAAGACTGCTTCAAAACAGCTCTCGCAAAAGGAAGGTTCAACTCTGTGAGTTGAATGTACACATCACAGAGCAGTTTCTGAGAATGCTTCTGTCTACTTTGTATGTGAAGATATCCCGTTTACAACAAATTCCTCATAGAGCCCCCAATATCAACAAGCAGATTCTACAAAAGCAGTGTTTCAAAACTGCTCTATCAAAAGGAACATTCAACTCAGCGAATTGAACACACACATCACAAAGCAGTCTCTGAGAATGCTTCTGTCTTGTTTTTAGGTGAAGATATTCCTTTTTCTACCATAGGCAACAAAGCACTCCAGACGAACACATGAAGATTCTACAAAAAGTGTGTTCCAGCACTGCTCTATCAAAAGAAAGGTTCAAGTCTGGGAGTCCAATGTACATATCACAAAGAACTTTCTGAGAATGCTTGGGTCTAGTTTTTATGTGAAGATAGCCGTTTCCAAAGAATTCTTCAAAGAGTTCCAGATATCCACAGGCAGATTATACAAAAGAAGTGTTTCAATACTGCTCTATCAAAAGACGTATTCAAATCAGTTACCTTAATGCACACATCTCAATGAAATTCCTGAGAAAGCTTCTGTCTAGGTTTATGTGAAAATATTAACTTTTCCATCATGGGCCTCAAAGCGCTCAAAATGAACACTTGCAGATACTAGAGAAAGACTGTTTCAAAACTGCTCTATCCAAAGAACGGTTCCACTCTGTGAGGTGAATGCACACATCACAAAGCAGTTTCTGAGAACGCTTCTGTCTAGTTTGTATGTGAACATATTTCCTTTTCCATCATAGGCCTCAAATCGCTCCAAATATCCACTTGCAGATACTACAAGAAGACTGTTTCAAAACTGCATTCTCAAAAGAAAGTTTCAACTCTGTGAGTTGAATGCACACATCACCAAGCAGTTTCTGAGAATGCTTCTGTCTAGTTTGTAGGTGAAGGTATTTCCTTTTCCATCTTACACCTCAAATCACTAAAAATATCCACTTGCAGATACTACAAAAAGACTGTTTCAAAATCTCTCTCTCAAAAGGAAGGTTCAACTCTGTGAGTTGAATGCACACATCACAAAGCAGTTTCTGAGAATGCTTCTGTCTAGTATTTATGTGAAGATATTGCTTTTTCCACCATAGGCACAAAAGCTCTCCAAATGAACACTTGCAGATCCTACAAAATGTGTGTTTCAACACTGCTCTTTCAAAACAAGGGTTAAAGTCTGTGAGTTGAATGCAGACATCACCAAGCAGCTTCTGAGAGTGCTTCTGTCTAGATTGTATGTGAAGATATTTCCTTTTCCATCTTAGGCCTCAAATCACTACAAGTATCCAATTGAAGATACTTCAAAAAGATTGTTTCAAAACGGCTCTCTCAGAAGGAAGGATCAACTCTGTGAGTTCAATTCACAATCACAAAGAAGTTTCTGAGAATGCTTCTGACTTGTGTGTATGTGAAGATATCCCTTTTACAATGAATTCTTCCAAGAGCTACAAATATCCACAAGCAGATTCTACAAAACAGGTTGTTCAAAACTGCTCAATCAAAAGAAAGAGTCAACCCTGTGAATTGAACACACACATCACAAAGCAGTTTCTGAGCATGCTTCTGTCTAGTTTGTATGTGAAGATAGTTCCTTTTCCCTCATAGGCCTCATAGCGTTCCAAATAGCGACTTGCAGATACTACAAAAAGACTGTTTGAAAACTGTTCTCTCAGAAGGAAGGTTCAACTCCGTGTGTTGAATGCACACATCACAAAGCAGTTTCTGAGAATGCTTTCTGTCTAGCTTGTACGTGAAGATAGTTCCTTTTCCCTCATAGGTCCCAAATCGTTCCAAATATCGACTTGCAGATACCACAAAAAGACTGCTTCAAAACTGTTCTCAGAAGGAAGGTTCAACTCCGTGTGTTGAATGCACACATGAAAAAGCAGTTTCTGAGAATGCTTCTGTCTAGTTTGTATGTGAAGATATAACATTGACAGTGAATTCGTCAAAGAGCTTCAAATATCCAAAAGCAGATTCTAGAAAAGCAGTGTTTCAAAACTGCTCAATCAAAAGAAAGGTTCAACTCTGTGAACTGAACACATATATCACAAAGGAGTTTCGGAGAACGCTTCTTTCTAGTCTTTATGTGAAGATATTTCTTTTTCCACCATAGGCATCAAAGCGCTCCAAATGAACTCTTGCAGATTCTGCATATGTGTGTTTCAACACTGCTCCGTCTAAAGAAATGTTCAAGTCTCTGAGTTGAATGCACCCATCACAAAGCAGTTTCTGAGAATGCTTCTTTCTAGTTTGCATGTGAAGATATTCCCGTTTCCATCTTAAGCCTCACATCGCTCCATATATCCACTTGAGGATACTACAAAAAACTGTTTCAAAACTGCTCTCTCAAAAGGAAGGTTCAACTCTGTGAGCTGAATGCACACATCGCAAAGCAGTTAATGAGATTGCTTCTGTCTAGTTTGTATGTGAGGATATTTCCTTTTCAAACTTAGACTTCCCATCGCTCCAAATATCCACTTGCAGATATTTCAAAGAGACTGTTTAAAAACTGCTCTCTCAGAAGGAAGGTTCAACTCTGTGAGTTGAATGCACACACCACAAAGCAGTTTCTGAGAATGCTTCTGTCTAGTTTGTATGTGAAGATATCCCGTTTACAACGAATTCCTCAAAGTAGCTCCAAATATCCACAAGCAGATTCTACAGAAGCAGTGTATCAAAACTGCTCTATCAAAAGAAAGGTTCAACTCTCTGAATAGAACAAACACATCACTAAGGCGTTTCTGAGAATGCTTCTGTCTAGTATTTATGTGAAGATATTTCTTTTTCCACCATAGGCAAAAAAGCGCTCCAAGTGAACACTTGCACATCCTACAAAATGTGTGTTTGAACACTGCTCTTTCAAAAGAAAGGTTGAAGTCTGTGATTGGAATGCACACATCACAAAGCAGTTTCTGAGAATGCTTCTGTCTACTTTGTATGTGAAGATATCCCGTTTACAACAAATTCCTCAAAGAGCTCCAGATATCCACAAGCAGATCCTATAAAAGCGGTGTTTCAAAGCTGCGCTATCAAAGGAATATTTCAATTCTGTGAATTTGACACACACTTCACAAAGGAGTTTCTGAGAATGTTTCTGTCTAGTTTTCATTTGAAGATATTTCTTTTTCCACCATAGGCAACAAAGCGCACTAAATGAACACTTGCAGATTCTACAAAAAGCGTGTTCCAACACTGATCTCTCAAAAGAAAGTTTGAAGTCTGTGAGTTTAAGGCACACATCTCAAGGAACTTTTTGAGAATCCTTGGGTCTCCTTTTTTTGTGAAGATACCAGCTGCCAACGAACTCCTGAAAGAGTTCCAAATATCCACAAGCAGATTCTACAAAAGGAGTGTTTCAATTCTGCTCTATCAAAAGGCAGATTCAACTCAGTTACTTGAATGCACACATCTCAGTGAAGTTCCTGAGCATGCCTCTGTCTAGTTTTTTTGTGAAGATATTTCCTTTTCCGCCAAAGGCTTAAAAGCGCTCCAAAATGAACACTCGCAGATCCTACAAAAAGACTGTTTCAGAACTGCTCTATCAAAAGGACGGTTCCACTCTGTGAGGTAAATGCACACATCACAAAGCAGATTCTGAGAAAGCTTCTGTCAAGTTTGGCCGTGAAGATATTTCCTTTTCAATCTTAGTCCTCCCATTGCTCCAAGTATCCACTTGTAGAGAATACAAAAAGATTGTTTCAAAACTGCTCTCTCAAAAGGAAGGTTCAACTCTGTGAGTAGAATGCACACATCACAAACCAGTTTCTGAGAATGCTTCTGACTAGTTTGAATGTGAAGATATCCCGTTTAAAACGAATTCCTCAAACAGCTCCAAATATCCACAAGAAGATTCTACAAAAGCAGTGTTTCAAAACTGCTTTATCTAAAGAAAGGTTCAACCCTGTGAATTGAACAACCACATCACAAAGTATTTTCTGAGAATGTTTCTGTCTAGTTTTTACATGAAGATATTTCTTTTTCCACCATGGGCAAGAAAGCACTCCAAATGAACACTTGCAGATTCTACAAAAAGTGTGTTTGAACCCTGCTCTATCAAAAGAAAGTTTCAAGCCTGTGAGTTGAATCCCCACATCACAAAGCAGTTTCTGAGAATGCTTCTGCCTAGTTTTTAGGTGAAGATATATCCTTTTCCATCTTAGGCCTCAAATCTCTCCAAACATCCACTTGCAGATACTTCAAAAAGACTGTTTCAAAACTGCTCTCAAAAGGAAGGTTCAACTCTGTGAGTTGAATGCACACATCACAACGCAGTGTCTGAGAATGCTTCTGTCTAGTTTGTATGTGAAGATATTTCCTTTTCCATCTTAGGCCTCAAATCGATCCAAATATCCAATTGCAGATACCACAAAAAGACTGCTTCAAAACAGCTCTCGCAAAAGGAAGGTTCAACTCTGTGAGTTGAATGCACCCATCACAGAGCAGTTTCTGAGAATGCTTCTGTCTAGTTTGTATGTGAAGGTATCCCGTTTACAACAAATTCCTCAAAGAGCCCCCAATAGCAACAAGCAGATTCTACAAAAGCAGTGTTTCAAAACTGCTCTATCAAAAGGAACTTCCAACTCTGCGAATTGAACACACACATCACAAAGCAGTCTCTGAGAATGCTTCTGTCTGGTTTTTAGGTGAAGATATTCCTTTTTCCACCAGAGGCAACAAAGCACTCCAAACGAACACATGAAGATTCTACAAAAAGTGTGTTCCAACACTGCTCTATCAAAAGAAAGGTTCAAGTCTGGGAGTCCAATGTACATATCACAAAGAACTTTCTGAGAATGCTTGGGTCTACTTTTTATGTGAAGATAGCCGTTTCCAAAGAATTCTTCAAAGAGTTCCAGATATCCACAGGCAGATTCTACAAAAGAAGTGTTTCAATACTGCTCTATCAAAAGACGTATTCAACTCAGTTACTTTAATGCACACATCTCAATGAAGTTCCTGAGAAAGCTTCTGTCTAGTTTTTATGTGAAAATATTTCCTTTTCCATCATGGGCCTCAAAGCGCTCAAAATGAACACTTGCAGATACTAGAGAAAGACTGTTTCAAAACTGCTCTATCCAAAGAAAGGTTCCACTCTGTGAGGTGAATGCACACATCACAAAGCAGTTTCTCAGAACGCTTCTGTCTAGTTTGTATGTGAACATATTTCCTTTTCCATCATAGGCCTCAAATCGCTCCAAATATCCACTTGCAGATACTACAAAAAGACTGTTTCAAAACTGCTTTCTCAAAAGAAAGTTTCAACTCTGTGAGTTGAATGCACACATCACAAAGCAGTTTCTGAGAATGCTTCTGTGTAACTTGTATGTGAAGATCTCCCGTATACGCCCAATTCCTAAAAGACCGCCAAATATCCGCAAGCAGATTCTACAAAAGCAGTGTTTCAAATCTGCTCTATCAAAAGAAAGGTTCAACTTTGTGAATTGGACACAAACATCTCAAAGGAGTTTCTGAGAAGGCTTCTTTCTAGTTTCTAGGTGAACATATTCCTTTTTCCACCACAGGCAACAAAGCTCTCCAAATGAACACTTGCAGATTCTATAAAAAGTGTGTTTCAACACTGCTCTATCAAAATAAAGTTTCAAGTCTGTAAGTTTAATGCACACATCACAAAGCAGTTTCTGAGAATGCTTCTGTCTAGTTTGTAGGTGAAGGTATTTCCTTTTCCATCTTAGACCTCAAATCACTAAAAATATCCACTTGCAGATACTACAAAAAGACTGTTTCAAAACCTCTCTCTCAAAAGGAAGGTTCAACTCTGTGAGTTGAATGCACACATCACAAAGCAGTTTCTGAGAATGCTTCTGTCTAGTATTTATGTGAAGACATTTCTTTATCCACCATAGGCACAAAAGCGCTCCAAATGAACACTTGCAGATCGTACAAAATGTGTGTTTCAACACTGCTCTTTCAAAACAAGGGTTCAAGTCTGTGAGTTAAATGCAGACATCACCAAGCAGCTTCTGAGAGTGCTTCTCTCTAGATTGTATGTGAAGATATTTCCTTTTCCATCTTAGGACTCAAATCACTAGAAACATCCAATTGAAGATACTTCAAAAAGATTGTTTCAAAACGGCTCTCTCAAAAGGAAGGTTCAACTCTGTGAGTTCAATTCACATATCACAAAGAAGTTTCTGAGAATGCTTCTGACTAGTGTGTATGTGAAGATCTCCCTTTTACAAAGAATTCCTCCAAGAGCTACAAATATCCACAAGCAGATTTTACAAAACTGGTGGTTCAAAACTGCTCAATCAAAAGAAAGAGTCAACCCTGTGAATTGAACACACACATCACAAAGCAGTATCTGAGAATGCTTCTGTCTAGTTTGTAAGTGAACATATTTCCTTTTCCATCATAGGCCTCAAATCGCTCCAAGTATCCACTTGCAGATACTACAAAAAGACTGTTTCAGAACTGCTTTCTCCAAAGAAAGTTTCAACTCTGTTAGTTGAATGCACACATCACAGAGCAGTTTCTGAGAATGCTTCTGTGTAATTTGTATGTGAAGATATCCCGTATACGCCCAATTCCTCAAAGACCTCCTAATACACGCAAGCAGATTCTACAAAAGCAGTGTTTCAAATCTGCTCTACCAAAAGAAAGGTTCAACTTTGTGAATTAGACACAAACATCTCAAAGGAGTTTCTGAGAAGGCTTCTTTCTAGTTTGTATGTGAACACATTTCTTTTTCCACCACAGGCAACAAAGCTCTCCAAATGAACACTTGCAGGTTCTATAAAAAGTGTGTTTCAACACTGCTCTATCAAAATAAGGTTTCAAGTCTGTAAGTTTAATGCACACATCACAAAGCAGTTTCTGAGAATGCTTCTGTCTAGTTTGTATGTGAAGGTATTTCCTTTTCCATCTTAGACCTCAAAGCACCAAAAATATCCACCTGTACATACTACAAAAAGACTGTTTCAAAACGTCTCTCTCAAAAGGAAGGTTCAACTCTGTGAGTTGAATGCACACATCACACAGCAGTTTCTGAGCATGCTTCTGTCTAGTTTGTATGTGAAGATAGTTCCTTTTCCCTCATAGGCCTCAAATCGTTCCAAATATCGACTTGCAGATACTACAAAAAGACTGTTTGAAAACCGTTCTCTCAGAAGGAAGGTTCAACTCCGTGTGTTGAATGCACACATCACAAAGCAGTTTCTGAGAATGCTTCTGTCTAGCTTGTACGTGAAGATAGTTCCTTTTCCCTCATAGGTCCCAAATCGTTCCAAATATCGACTTGCAGATACCACAAAAAGACTGCTTCAAAACTGTTCTCAGAAGGAAGGTTCAACTCCGTGTGTTGAATGCACACATCAAAAAGCAGTTTCTGAGAATGCTTCTGTCTAGTTTGTATGTGAAGATATAACATTGACAGCGAATTCGTCAAAGAGCTTCAAATATCCAAAAGCAGATTCTAGAAAAGCAGTGTTTCAAAACTGCTCAATCAAAAGAAAGGTTCAACTCTGTGAACTGAACACATATATCACAAAGGAGTTTCGGAGAACGCTTCTTTCTAGTCTTTATGTGAAGATATTTCTTTTTCCACCATAGGCATCAAAGCGCTCCAAATGAACTCTTGCAGATTCTGCATATGTGTGTTTCAACACTGCTCCGTCTAAAGAAATGTTCAAGTCTCTGAGTTGAATGCACCCATCACAAAGCAGTTTCTGAGAATGCTTCTTTCTAGTTTGCATGTGAAGATATTCCCGTTTCCATCTTAAGCCTCACATCGCTCCATATATCCACTTGAGGATACTACAAAAAACTGTTTCAAAACTGCTCTCTCAAAAGGAAGGTTCAACTCTGTGAGCTGAATGCACACATCGCAAAGCAGTTAATGAGATTGCTTCTGTCTAGTTTGTATGTGAGGATATTTCCTTTTCAAACTTAGACTTCCCATCGCTCCAAATATCCACTTGCAGATATTTCAAAGAGACTGTTTAAAAACTGCTCTCTCAGAAGGAAGGTTCAACTCTGTGAGTTGAATGCACACACCACAAAGCAGTTTCTGAGAATGCTTCTGTCTAGTTTGTATGTGAAGATATCCCGTTTACAACGAATTCCTCAAAGAGCTCCAAATATCCACAAGCAGATTCTACAGAAACAGTGTATCAAAACTGCTCTATCAAAAGAAAGGTTCAACTCTCTGAATAGAACAAACACATCACTAAGGCGTTTCTGAGAATGCTTCTGTCTAGTATTTATGTGAAGATATTTCTTTTTCCACCATAGGCAAAAAAGCGCTCCAAGTGAACACTTGCACATCCTACAAAATGTGTGTTTGAACACTGCTCTTTCAAAAGAAAGGTTGAAGTCTGTGATTGGAATGCACACATCACAAAGCAGTTTCTGAGAATGCTTCTGTCTACTTTGTATGTGAAGATATCCCGTTTACAACAAATTCCTCAAAGAGCTCCAGATATCCACAAGCAGATCCTATAAAAGCGGTGTTTCAAAGCTGCGCTATCAAAGGAATATTTCAATTCTGTGAATTTGACACACACTTCACAAAGGAGTTTCTGAGAATGTTTCTGTCTAGTTTTCATTTGAAGATATTTCTTTTTCCACCATAGGCAACAAAGCGCACTAAATGAACACTTGCAGATTCTACAAAAAGCGTGTTCCAACACTGATCTCTCAAAAGAAAGTTTGAAGTCTGTGAGTTTAAGGCACACATCTCAAGGAACTTTTTGAGAATCCTTGGGTCTCCTTTTTTTGTGAAGATACCAGCTGCCAACGAACTCCTGAAAGAGTTCCAAATATCCACAAGCAGATTCTACAAAAGGAGTGTTTCAATTCTGCTCTATCAAAAGGCAGATTCAACTCAGTTACTTGAATGCACACATCTCAGTGAAGTTCCTGAGCATGCCTCTGTCTAGTTTTTTTGTGAAGATATTTCCTTTTCCGCCAAAGGCTTAAAAGCGCTCCAAAATGAACACTCGCAGATCCTACAAAAAGACTGTTTCAGAACTGCTCTATCAAAAGGACGGTTCCACTCTGTGAGGTAAATGCACACATCACAAAGCAGATTCTGAGAAAGCTTCTGTCAAGTTTGGCCGTGAAGATATTTCCTTTTCAATCTTAGTCCTCCCATTGCTCCAAGTATCCACTTGTAGAGAATACAAAAAGATTGTTTCAAAACTGCTCTCTCAAAAGGAAGGTTCAACTCTGTGAGTAGAATGCACACATCACAAACCAGTTTCTGAGAATGCTTCTGACTAGTTTGAATGTGAAGATATCCCGTTTAAAACGAATTCCTCAAACAGCTCCAAATATCCACAAGAAGATTCTACAAAAGCAGTGTTTCAAAACTGCTTTATCTAAAGAAAGGTTCAACCCTGTGAATTGAACAACCACATCACAAAGTATTTTCTGAGAATGTTTCTGTCTAGTTTTTACGTGAAGATATTTCTTTTTCCACCATGGGCAAGAAAGCACTCCAAATGAACACTTGCAGATTCTACAAAAAGTGTGTTTCAACCCTGCTCTATCAAAAGAAAGTTTCAAGCCTGTGAGTTGAATCCCCACATCACAAAGCAGTTTCTGAGAATGCTTCTGCCTAGTTTTTAGGTGAAGATATATCCTTTTCCATCTTAGGCCTCAAATCTCTCCAAACATCCACTTGCAGATACTTCAAAAAGACTGTTTCAAAACTGCTCTCAAAAGGAAGGTTCAACTCTGTGAGTTGAATGCACACATCACAACGCAGTGTCTGAGAATGCTTCTGTCTAGTTTGTATGTGAAGATATTTCCTTTTCCATCTTAGGCCTCAAATCGATCCAAATATCCAATTGCAGATACCACAAAAAGACTGCTTCAAAACAGCTCTCGCAAAAGGAAGGTTCAACTCTGTGAGTTGAATGCACACATCACAGAGCAGTTTCTGAGAATGCTTCTGTCTACTTTGTATGTGAAGATATCCCGTTTACAACAAATTCCTCAAAGAGCCCCCAATAGCAACAAGCAGATTCTACAAAAGCAGTGTTTCAAAACTGCTCTATCAAAAGCAACTTTCAACTCTGCGAATTGAACACACACATCACAAAGCAGTCTCTGAGAATGCTTCTGTCTGGTTTTTAGGTGAAGATATTCCTTTTTCCACCATAGGCAACAGAGCACTCCAAACGAACACATGAAGATTCTACAAAAAGTGTGTTCCAACACTGCTCTATCAAAAGAAAGTTTCAAGTCTGGGAGTCCAATGTACATGTCACAAAGAACGTTCTGTGAATGCTTGGGTCTACTTTTTATGTGAAGATAGCCGTTTCCAAAGAATTCTTCAAAGAGTTCCAGATATCCACAGGCAGATTCTACAAAAGAAGTGTTTCAATACTGCTCTATCAAAAGACGTATTCAACTCAGTTACTTTAATGCACACATCTCAATGAAGTTCCTGAGAAAGCTTCTGTCTAGTTTTTATGTGAAAATATTTCCTTTTCCATCATGGGCCTCAAAGCGCTCAAAATGAACACTTGCAGATACTAGAGAAAGACTGTTTCAAAACTGCTCTATCCAAAGAAAGGTTCCACTCTGTGAGGTGAATGCACACATCACAAAGCAGTTTCTCAGAACGCTTCTGTCTAGTTTGTATGTGAACATATTTCCTTTTCCATCATAGGCCTCAAATCGCTCCAAATATCCACTTGCAGATACTACAAAAAGACTGTTTCAAAACTGCTTTCTCAAAAGAAAGTTTCAACTCTGTGAGTTGAATGCACACATCACAAAGCAGTTTCTGAGAATGCTTCTGTGTAACTTGTATGTGAAGATCTCCCGTATACGCCCAATTCCTAAAAGACCGCCAAATATCCGCAAGCAGATTCTACAAAAGCAGTGTTTCAAATCTGCTCTATCAAAAGAAAGGTTCAACTTTGTGAATTGGACACAAACATCTCAAAGGAGTTTCTGAGAAGGCTTCTTTCTAGTTTCTAGGTGAACATATTCCTTTTTCCACCACAGGCAACAAAGCTCTCCAAATGAACACTTGCAGATTCTATAAAAAGTGTGTTTCAACACTGCTCTATCAAAATAAAGTTTCAAGTCTGTAAGTTTAATGCACACATCACAAAGCAGTTTCTGAGAATGCTTCTGTCTAGTTTGTAGGTGAAGGTATTTCCTTTTCCATCTTAGACCTCAAATCACTAAAAATATCCACTTGCAGATACTACAAAAAGACTGTTTCAAAACCTCTCTCTCAAAAGGAAGGTTCAACTCTGTGAGTTGAATGCACACATCACAAAGCAGTTTCTGAGAATGCTACTTTCTAGTATTTATGTGAAGATATTTCTTTATCCACCATAGGCACAACAGCGTTCCAAATGAACACTTGCAGATCGTACAAAATGTGTGTTTCAACACTGCTCTTTCAAAACAAGGGTTCAAGTCTGTGAGTTGAATGCAGACATCACCAAGCAGCTTCTGAGAGTGCTTCTGTCTAGATTGTATGTGAAGATATTTCCTCTTCCATCTTAGGCCTCAAATCACTACAAACATCCAATTGAAGATACTTCAAAAAGATTGTTTCAAAACGGCTCTCTCAAAAGGAAGGTTCAACTCTGTGAGTTCAATTCACACATCACAAAGAAGTTTCTGAGAATGCTTCTGACTAGTGTGTATGTGAAGATATCCCTTTTACAAAGAATTCCTCCAAGAGCTACAAATATCCACAAGCAGATTCTACAAAACAGGTGGTTCAAAACTGCTCAATCAAAAGAAAGAGTCAACCCTGTGAATTGAACACACACATCACAAAGCAGTTTCTGAGAATGCTTCTGTCTAGTTTGTAAGTGAACATATTTCCTTTTCCATCATAGGCCTCAAATCGCTCCAAATATCCACTTGCAGATACTACAAAAAGACTGTTTCAGAACAGCTTTCTCAAAAGAAAGTTTCAACTCTGTGAGAGGAATGCACACATCACAGAGCAGTTTCTGAGAATGCTTCTGTGTAATTTGTATGTGAAGATATCCCGTATACGCCCAATTCCTCAAAGACCTCCAAAAAAAATGCAAGCAGATTCTACAAAAGCAGTGTTTCAAATCTGCTCTATCAAAAGAAAGGTTCAACTTTGTGAATTGGACACAAACATCTCAAAGGAGTTTCTGAGAAGGCTTCTTTCTAGTTTGTATGTGAACACATTTCTTTTTCCACCACAGGCAACAAAGCTCTCCAAATGAACACTTGCAGATTCTATAAAAAGTGTGTTTCAACACTGCTCTATCTAAATAAGGTTTCAAGTCTGTAAGTTTAATGCACACATCACAAAGCAGTTTCTGAGAATGCTTCTGTCTAGTTTGTAGGTGAAGGTATTTCCTTTTCCATCTTAGACCTCAAAGCACCAAAAATATCCACCTGTACATACTACAAAAAGACTGTTTCAAAACGTCTCTCTCAAAAGGAAGGTTCAACTCTGTGAGTTGAATGCACACATCACACAGCAGTTTCTGAGCATGCTTCTGTCTAGTTTGTATGTGAAGATAGTTCCTTTTCCCTCATAGGCCTCAAATCGTTCCAAATATCGACTTGCAGATACTACAAAAAGACTGTTTGAAAACCGTTCTCTCAGAAGGAAGGCTCAACTCCGTGTGTTGAATGCACACATCACAAAGCAGTTTCTGAGAATGCTTCTGTCTAGCTTGTACGTGAAGATAGTTCCTTTTCCCTCATAGGTCCCAAATCGTTCCAAATATCGACTTGCAGATACCACAAAAAGACTGCTTCAAAACTGTTCTCAGAAGGAAGGTTCAACTCCGTGTGTTGAATGCACACATCAAAAAGCAGTTTCTGAGAATGCTTCTGTCTAGTTTGTATGTGAAGATATAACATTGACAGCGAATTCGTCAAAGAGCTTCAAATATCCAAAAGCAGATTCTAGAAAAGCAGTGTTTCAAAACTGCTCAATCAAAAGAAAGGTTCAACTCTGTGAACTGAACACATATATCACAAAGGAGTTTCGGAGAACGCTTCTTTCTAGTCTTTATGTGAAGATATTTCTTTTTCCACCATAGGCATCAAAGCGCTCCAAATGAACTCTTGCAGATTCTGCATATGTGTGTTTCAACACTGCTCCGTCTAAAGAAATGTTCAAGTCTCTGAGTTGAATGCACCCATCACAAAGCAGTTTCTGAGAATGCTTCTTTCTAGTTTGCATGTGAAGATATTCCCGTTTCCATCTTAAGCCTCACATCGCTCCATATATCCACTTGAGGATACTACAAAAAACTGTTTCAAAACTGCTCTCTCAAAAGGAAGGTTCAACTCTGTGAGCTGAATGCACACATCGCAAAGCAGTTAATGAGATTGCTTCTGTCTAGTTTGTATGTGAGGATATTTCCTTTTCAAACTTAGACTTCCCATCGCTCCAAATATCCACTTGCAGATATTTCAAAGAGACTGTTTAAAAACTGCTCTCTCAGAAGGAAGGTTCAACTCTGTGAGTTGAATGCACACACCACAAAGCAGTTTCTGAGAATGCTTCTGTCTAGTTTGTATGTGAAGATATCCCGTTTACAACGAATTCCTCAAAGAGCTCCAAATATCCACAAGCAGATTCTACAGAAGCAGTGTATCAAAACTGCTCTATCAAAAGAAAGGTTCAACTCTCTGAATAGAACAAACACATCACTAAGGCGTTTCTGAGAATGCTTCTGTCTAGTATTTATGTGAAGATATTTCTTTTTCCACCATAGGCAAAAAAGCGCTCCAAGTGAACACTTGCACATCCTACAAAATGTGTGTTTGAACACTGCTCTTTCAAAAGAAAGGTTGAAGTCTGTGATTGGAATGCACACATCACAAAGCAGTTTCTGAGAATGCTTCTGTCTACTTTGTATGTGAAGATATCCCGTTTACAACAAATTCCTCAAAGAGCTCCAGATATCCACAAGCAGATCCTATAAAAGCGGTGTTTCAAAGCTGCGCTATCAAAGGAATATTTCAATTCTGTGAATTTGACACACACTTCACAAAGGAGTTTCTGAGAATGTTTCTGTCTAGTTTTCATTTGAAGATATTTCTTTTTCCACCATAGGCAACAAAGCGCACTAAATGAACACTTGCAGATTCTACAAAAAGCGTGTTCCAACACTGATCTCTCAAAAGAAAGTTTGAAGTCTGTGAGTTTAAGGCACACATCTCAAGGAACTTTTTGAGAATCCTTGGGTCTCCTTTTTTTGTGAAGATACCAGCTGCCAACGAACTCCTGAAAGAGTTCCAAATATCCACAAGCAGATTCTACAAAAGGAGTGTTTCAATTCTGCTCTATCAAAAGGCAGATTCAACTCAGTTACTTGAATGCACACATCTCAGTGAAGTTCCTGAGCATGCCTCTGTCTAGTTTTTTTGTGAAGATATTTCCTTTTCCGCCAAAGGCTTAAAAGTGCTCCAAAATGAACACTCGCAGATCCTACAAAAAGACTGTTTCAGAACTGCTCTATCAAAAGGACGGTTCCACTCTGTGAGGTAAATGCACACATCACAAAGCAGATTCTGAGAAAGCTTCTGTCAAGTTTGGCCGTGAAGATATTTCCTTTTCAATCTTAGTCCTCCCATTGCTCCAAGTATCCACTTGTAGAGAATACAAAAAGATTGTTTCAAAACTGCTCTCTCAAAAGGAAGGTTCAACTCTGTGAGTAGAATGCACACATCACAAACCAGTTTCTGAGAATGCTTCTGACTAGTTTGAATGTGAAGATATCCCGTTTAAAACGAATTCCTCAAACAGCTCCAAATATCCACAAGAAGATTCTACAAAAGCAGTGTTTCAAAACTGCTTTATCTAAAGAAAGGTTCAACCCTGTGAATTGAACAACCACATCACAAAGTATTTTCTGAGAATGTTTCTGTCTAGTTTTTACGTGAAGATATTTCTTTTTCCACCATGGGCAAGAAAGCACT
This sequence comes from Homo sapiens, assembly GCF_000001405.40. Taxonomy (NCBI): domain Eukaryota; kingdom Metazoa; phylum Chordata; class Mammalia; order Primates; family Hominidae; genus Homo; species Homo sapiens. The sequence continues at coordinate 46,877,900 of NC_000005.10, read as the reverse complement.
CCAAATGAACACTTGCAGATTCTACAAAAAGTGTGTTTGAACCCTGCTGTATCAAAAGAAAGTTTCAAGCCTGTGAGTTGAATCCCCACATCACAAAGCAGTTTCTGAGAATGCTTCTGCCTAGTTTTTAGGTGAAGATATATCCTTTTCCATCTTAGGCCTCAAATCTCTCCAAACATCCACTTGCAGATACTTCAAAAAGACTGTTTCAAAACTGCTCTCAAAAGGAAGGTTCAACTCTGTGAGTTGAATGCACACATCACAACGCAGTGTCTGAGAATGCTTCTGTCTAGTTTGTATGTGGAGATATTTCCTTTTCCATCTTAGGCCTCAAATCGATCCAAATATCCAATTGCAGATACCACAAAAAGACTGCTTCAAAACAGCTCTCGCAAAAGGAAGGTTCAACTCTGTGAGTTGAATGCACACATCACAGAGCAGTTTCTGAGAATGCTTCTGTCTACTTTGTATGTGAAGATATCCCGTTTACAACAAATTCCTCATAGAGCCCCCAATATCAACAAGCAGATTCTACAAAAGCAGTGTTTCAAAACTGCTCTATCAAAAGGAACATTCAACTCAGCGAATTGAACACACACATCACAAAGCAGTCTCTGAGAATGCTTCTGTCTTGTTTTTAGGTGAAGATATTCCTTTTTCTACCATAGGCAACAAAGCACTCCAGACGAACACATGAAGATTCTACAAAAAGTGTGTTCCAGCACTGCTCTATCAAAAGAAAGGTTCAAGTCTGGGAGTCCAATGTACATATCACAAAGAACTTTCTGAGAATGCTTGGGTCTAGTTTTTATGTGAAGATAGCCGTTTCCAAAGAATTCTTCAAAGAGTTCCAGATATCCACAGGCAGATTATACAAAAGAAGTGTTTCAATACTGCTCTATCAAAAGACGTATTCAAATCAGTTACCTTAATGCACACATCTCAATGAAATTCCTGAGAAAGCTTCTGTCTAGGTTTATGTGAAAATATTAACTTTTCCATCATGGGCCTCAAAGCGCTCAAAATGAACACTTGCAGATACTAGAGAAAGACTGTTTCAAAACTGCTCTATCCAAAGAACGGTTCCACTCTGTGAGGTGAATGCACACATCACAAAGCAGTTTCTGAGAACGCTTCTGTCTAGTTTGTATGTGAACATATTTCCTTTTCCATCATAGGCCTCAAATCGCTCCAAATATCCACTTGCAGATACTATAAAAAGACTGTTTCAAAACTGCTTTCTCAAAAGAAAGTTTCAACTCTGTGAGTTGAATGCGCACATCACAAAGCAGTTTCTGAGAATGCTTCTGTGTAACTTGTAGGTGAAGATCTCCCGCATACGCCCCATTCCTCAAAGACCTCCAAATATCCGCAAGCAGAGTCTACAAAAGCAGTGTTTCAAATCTGCTCTATCAAAAGAAAGGTTCAACTTTGTGAATTGGACACAAACATCGAAAAGGAGTTTCTGAGAATGCTTCTTTCTAGTTTCTATGTGAACATATTCCTTTTTCCACCAGAGGCAACAAAGCTCTCCAAATGAACACTTGCAGATTCTATAAAAAGTGTGTTTCAACACTGCTCTATCAAAATAAAGTTTCAAGTCTGTAAGTTGAATGCACACATCACAAAGCAGTTTCTGAGAATGCTTCTGTCTAGTTTGTAGGTGAAGGTATTTCCTTTTCCATCTTAGACCTCAAATCACTAAAAATATCCACTTGCAGATACTACAAAAAGACTGTTTCAAAACCTCTCTCTCAAAAGGAAGGTTCAACTCTGTGAGTTGAATGCACACATCACAAAGCAGTTTCTGAGAATGCTTCTGTCTAGTATTTATGTGAAGATATTTCTTTATCCACCATAGGCACAAAAGCGCTCCAAATGAACACTTGCAGATCGTACAAAATGTGTGTTTCAACACTGCTCTTTCAAAACAAGGGTTCAAGTCTGTGAGTTGAATGCAGACATCACCAAGCAGCTTCTGAGAGTGCCTCTGTCTAGATTGTATGTGAAGATATTTCCTTTTCCATCTTAGGCCTCAAATCACTACAAACATCCAATTGAAGATACTTCAAAAAGATTGTTTCAAAACGGCTCTCTCAAAAGGAAGGTTCAACTCTGTGAATTCAATTCACACATCACAAAGAAGTTTCTGAGAATGCTTCTGACTAGTGTGTATGTGCAGATATCCCTTTTACAAAGAATTCCTCCAAGAGCTACAAATATCCACAAGCAGATTCTACAAAACAGGTGGTTCAAAACTGCTCAATCAAAAGAAATAGTCAACCCTGTGAATTGAACACACACATCACAAAGCAGTTTCTGAGATTGCTTCTGTCTAGTTTGTATGTGAACATATTTCCTTTTCCATCATAGGCCTGAAATCGCTCCAAATATCCACTTGCAGATACTACAAAAAGACTGTTTCAGAACAGCTTTCTCCAAAGAAAGTTTCAACTCTGTGAGTTGAATGCACACATCACAGAGCAGTTTCTGAGAATGCTTCTGTGTAATTTGTATGTGAAGATATCCCGTATACGCCCAATTCCTCAAAGACCTCCTAATACACGCAAGCAGATTCTACAAAAGCAGTGTTTCAAATCTGCTCTACCAAAAGAAAGGTTCAACTTTGTGAATTAGACACAAACATCTCAAAGGAGTTTCTGAGAAGGCTTCTTTCTAGTTTGTATGTGAACACATTTCTTTTTCCACCACAGGCAACAAAGCTCTCCAAATGAACACTTGCAGGTTCTATAAAAAGTGTGTTTCAACACTGCTCTATCAAAATAAGGTTTCAAGTCTGTAAGTTTAATGCACACATCACAAAGCAGTTTCTGAGAATGCTTCTGTCTAGTTTGTAGGTGAAGGTATTTCCTTTTCCATCTTAGACCTCAAAGCACCAAAAATATCCACCTGTACATACTACAAAAAGACTGTTTCAAAACGTCTCTCTCAAAAGGAAGGTTCAACTCTGTGAGTTGAATGCACACATCACACAGCAGTTTCTGAGCATGCTTCTGTCTAGTTTGTATGTGAAGATAGTTCCTTTTCCCTCATAGGCCTCAAATCGTTCCAAATATCGACTTGCAGATACTACAAAAAGACTGTTTGAAAACCGTTCTCTCAGAAGGAAGGTTCAACTCCGTGTGTTGAATGCACACATCACAAAGCAGTTTCTGAGAATGCTTCTGTCTAGCTTGTACGTGAAGATAGTTCCTTTTCCCTCATAGGTCCCAAATCGTTCCAAATATCGACTTGCAGATACCACAAAAAGACTGCTTCAAAACTGTTCTCAGAAGGAAGGTTCAACTCCGTGTGTTGAATGCACACATCAAAAAGCAGTTTCTGAGAATGCTTCTGTCTAGTTTGTATGTGAAGATATAACATTGACAGTGAATTCGTCAAAGAGCTTCAAATATCCAAAAGCAGATTCTAGAAAAGCAGTGTTTCAAAACTGCTCAATCAAAAGAAAGGTTCAACTCTGTGAACTGAACACATATATCACAAAGGAGTTTCGGAGAACGCTTCTTTCTAGTCTTTATGTGAAGATATTTCTTTTTCCACCATAGGCATCAAAGCGCTCCAAATGAACTCTTGCAGATTCTGCATATGTGTGTTTCAACACTGCTCCGTCTAAAGAAATGTTCAAGTCTCTGAGTTGAATGCACCCATCACAAAGCAGTTTCTGAGAATGCTTCTTTCTAGTTTGCATGTGAAGATATTCCCGTTTCCATCTTAAGCCTCACATCGCTCCATATATCCACTTGAGGATACTACAAAAAACTGTTTCAAAACTGCTCTCTCAAAAGGAAGGTTCAACTCTGTGAGCTGAATGCACACATCGCAAAGCAGTTAATGAGATTGCTTCTGTCTAGTTTGTATGTGAGGATATTTCCTTTTCAAACTTAGACTTCCCATCGCTCCAAATATCCACTTGCAGATATTTCAAAGAGACTGTTTAAAAACTGCTCTCTCAGAAGGAAGGTTCAACTCTGTGAGTTGAATGCACACACCACAAAGCAGTTTCTGAGAATGCTTCTGTCTAGTTTGTATGTGAAGATATCCCGTTTACAACGAATTCCTCAAAGAGCTCCAAATATCCACAAGCAGATTCTACAGAAGCAGTGTATCAAAACTGCTCTATCAAAAGAAAGGTTCAACTCTCTGAATAGAACAAACACATCACTAAGGCGTTTCTGAGAATGCTTCTGTCTAGTATTTATGTGAAGATATTTCTTTTTCCACCATAGGCAAAAAAGCGCTCCAAGTGAACACTTGCACATCCTACAAAATGTGTGTTTGAACACTGCTCTTTCAAAAGAAAGGTTGAAGTCTGTGATTGGAATGCACACATCACAAAGCAGTTTCTGAGAATGCTTCTGTCTACTTTGTATGTGAAGATATCCCGTTTACAACAAATTCCTCAAAGAGCTCCAGATATCCACAAGCAGATCCTATAAAAGCGGTGTTTCAAAGCTGCGCTATCAAAGGAATATTTCAATTCTGTGAATTTGACACACACTTCACAAAGGAGTTTCTGAGAATGTTTCTGTCTAGTTTTCATTTGAAGATATTTCTTTTTCCACCATAGGCAACAAAGCGCACTAAATGAACACTTGCAGATTCTACAAAAAGCGTGTTCCAACACTGATCTCTCAAAAGAAAGTTTGAAGTCTGTGAGTTTAAGGCACACATCTCAAGGAACTTTTTGAGAATCCTTGGGTCTCCTTTTTTTGTGAAGATACCAGCTGCCAACGAACTCCTGAAAGAGTTCCAAATATCCACAAGCAGATTCTACAAAAGGAGTGTTTCAATTCTGCTCTATCAAAAGGCAGATTCAACTCAGTTACTTGAATGCACACATCTCAGTGAAGTTCCTGAGCATGCCTCTGTCTAGTTTTTTTGTGAAGATATTTCCTTTTCCGCCAAAGGCTTAAAAGCGCTCCAAAATGAACACTCGCAGATCCTACAAAAAGACTGTTTCAGAACTGCTCTATCAAAAGGACGGTTCCACTCTGTGAGGTAAATGCACACATCACAAAGCAGATTCTGAGAAAGCTTCTGTCAAGTTTGGCCGTGAAGATATTTCCTTTTCCATCTTAGGCCTCAAATCACTACAAACATCCAATTGAAGATACTTCAAAAAGATTGTTTCAAAACGGCTCTCTCAAAAGGAAGATTCAACTCTGTGAATTCAATTCACACATCACAAAGAAGTTTCTGAGAAAGCTTCTGACTAGTTTGAATGTGAAGATATCCCGTTTAAAACGAATTCCTCAAACAGCTCCAAATATCCACAAGAAGATTCTACAAAAGCAGTGTTTCAAAACTGCTTTATCTAAAGAAAGGTTCAACCCTGTGAATTGAACAACCACATCACAAAGTATTTTCTGAGAATGTTTCTGTCTAGTTTTTACGTGAAGATATTTCTTTTTCCACCATGGGCAAGAAAGCACTCCAAATGAACACTTGCAGATTCTACAAAAAGTGTGTTTGAACCCTGCTCTATCAAAAGAAAGTTTCAAGCCTGTGAGTTGAATCCCCACATCACAAAGCAGTTTCTGAGAATGCTTCTGCCTAGTTTTTAGGTGAAGATATATCCTTTTCCATCTTAGGCCTCAAATCTCTCCAAACATCCACTTGCAGATACTTCAAAAAGACTGTTTCAAAACTGCTCTCAAAAGGAAGGTTCAACTCTGTGAGTTGAATGCACACATCACAACGCAGTGTCTGAGAATGCTTCTGTCTAGTTTGTATGTGAAGATATTTCCTTTTCCATCTTAGGCCTCAAATCGATCCAAATATCCAATTGCAGATACCACAAAAAGACTGCTTCAAAACAGCTCTCGCAAAAGGAAGGTTCAACTCTGTGAGTTGAATGCACACATCACAGAGCAGTTTCTGAGAATGCTTCTGCCTACTTTGTATGTGAAGATATCCCGTTTACAACAAATTCCTCAAAGAGCCCCCAATAGCAACAAGCAGATTCTACAAAAGCAGTGTTTCAAAACTGCTCTATCCAAAGCAACTTTCAACTCTGCGAATTGAACACACACATCACAAAGCAGTCTCTGAGAATGCTTCTGTCTGGTTTTTAGGTGAAGATATTCCTTTTTCCACCATAGGCAACAGAGCACTCCAAACGAACACATGAAGATTCTACAAAAAGTGTGTTCCAACACTGCTCTATCAAAAGAAAGTTTCAAGTCTGGGAGTCCAATGTACATGTCACAAAGAACGTTCTGTGAATGCTTGGGTCTACTTTTTATGTGAAGATAGCCGTTTCCAAAGAATTCTTCAAAGAGTTCCAGATATCCACAGGCAGATTCTACAAAAGAAGTGTTTCAATACTGCTCTATCAAAAGACGTATTCAACTCAGTTACTTTAATGCACACATCTCAATGAAGTTCCTGAGAAAGCTTCTGTCTAGTTTTTATGTGAAAATATTTCCTTTTCCATCATGGGCCTCAAAGCGCTCAAAATGAACACTTGCAGATACTAGAGAAAGACTGTTTCAAAACTGCTCTATCCAAAGAAAGGTTCCACTCTGTGAGGTGAATGCACACATCACAAAGCAGTTTCTCAGAACGCTTCTGTCTAGTTTGTATGTGAACATATTTCCTTTTCCATCATAGGCCTCAAATCGCTCCAAATATCCACTTGCAGATACTACAAAAAGACTGTTTCAAAACTGCTTTCTCAAAAGAAAGTTTCAACTCTGTGAGTTGAATGCACACATCACAAAGCAGTTTCTGAGAATGCTTCTGTGTAACTTGTATGTGAAGATCTCCCGTATACGCCCAATTCCTAAAAGACCGCCAAATATCCGCAAGCAGATTCTACAAAAGCAGTGTTTCAAATCTGCTCTATCAAAAGAAAGGTTCAACTTTGTGAATTGGACACAAACATCTCAAAGGAGTTTCTGAGAAGGCTTCTTTCTAGTTTCTAGGTGAACATATTCCTTTTTCCACCACAGGCAACAAAGCTCTCCAAAGGAACACTTGCAGATTCTATAAAAAGTGTGTTTCAACACTGCTCTATCAAAATAAAGTTTCAAGTCTGTAAGTTTAATGCACACATCACAAAGCAGTTTCTGAGAATGCTTCTGTCTAGTTTGTAGGTGAAGGTATTTCCTTTTCCATCTTAGACCTCAAATCACTAAAAATATCCACTTGCAGATACTACAAAAAGACTGTTTCAAAACCTCTCTCTCAAAAGGAAGGTTCAACTCTGTGAGTTGAATGCACACATCACAAAGCAGTTTCTGAGAATGCTACTTTCTAGTATTTATGTGAAGATATTTCTTTATCCACCATAGGCACAACAGCGTTCCAAATGAACACTTGCAGATCGTACAAAATGTGTGTTTCAACACTGCTCTTGCAAAACAAGGGTTCAAGTCTGTGAGTTGAATGCAGACATCACCAAGCAGCTTCTGAGAGTGCTTCTGTCTAGATTGTATGTGAAGATATTTCCTCTTCCATCTTAGGCCTCAAATCACTACAAACATCCAATTGAAGATACTTCAAAAAGATTGTTTCAAAACGGCTCTCTCAAAAGGAAGGTTCAACTCTGTGAGTTCAATTCACACATCACAAAGAAGTTTCTGAGAATGCTTCTGACTAGTGTGTATGTGAAGATATCCCTTTTACAAAGAATTCCTCCAAGAGCTACAAATATCCACAAGCAGATTCTACAAAACAGGTGGTTCAAAACTGCTCAATCAAAAGAAAGAGTCAACCCTGTGAATTGAACACACACATCACAAAGCAGTTTCTGAGAATGCTTCTGTCTAGTTTGTAAGTGAACATATTTCCTTTTCCATCATAGGCCTCAAATCGCTCCAAATATCCACTTGCAGATACTACAAAAAGACTGTTTCAGAACAGCTTTCTCAAAAGAAAGTTTCAACTCTGTGAGAGGAATGCACACATCACAGAGCAGTTTCTGAGAATGCTTCTGTGTAATTTGTATGTGAAGATATCCCGTATACGCCCAATTCCTCAAAGACCTCCAAATACATGCAAGCAGATTCTACAAAAGCAGTGTTTCAAATCTGCTCTATCAAAAGAAAGGTTCAACTTTGTGAATTGGACACAAACATCTCAAAGGAGTTTCTGAGAAGGCTTCTTTCTAGTTTGTATGTGAACACATTTCTTTTTCCACCACAGGCAACAAAGCTCTCCAAATGAACACTTGCAGATTCTATAAAAAGTGTGTTTCAACACTGCTCTATCAAAATAAGGTTTCAAGTCTGTAAGTTTAATGCACACATCACAAAGCAGTTTCTGAGAATGCTTCTGTCTAGTTTGTAGGTGAAGGTATTTCCTTTTCCATCTTAGACCTCAAAGCACCAAAAATATCCACCTGTACATACTACAAAAAGACTGTTTCAAAACGTCTCTCTCAAAAGGAAGGTTCAACTCTGTGAGTTGAATGCACACATCACACAGCAGTTTCTGAGCATGCTTCTGTCTAGTTTGTATGTGAAGATAGTTCCTTTTCCCTCATAGGCCTCAAATCGTTCCAAATATCGACTTGCAGATACTACAAAAAGACTGTTTGAAAACCGTTCTCTCAGAAGGAAGGTTCAACTCCGTGTGTTGAATGCACACATCACAAAGCAGTTTCTGAGAATGCTTCTGTCTAGCTTGTACGTGAAGATAGTTCCTTTTCCCTCATAGGTCCCAAATCGTTCCAAATATCGACTTGCAGATACCACAAAAAGACTGCTTCAAAACTGTTCTCAGAAGGAAGGTTCAACTCCGTGTGTTGAATGCACACATCAAAAAGCAGTTTCTGAGAATGCTTCTGTCTAGTTTGTATGTGAAGATATAACATTGACAGTGAATTCGTCAAAGAGCTTCAAATATCGAAAAGCAGATTCTAGAAAAGCAGTGTTTCAAAACTGCTCAATCAAAAGAAAGGTTCAACTCTGTGAACTGAACACATATATCACAAAGGAGTTTCGGAGAACGCTTCTTTCTAGTCTTTATGTGAAGATATTTCTTTTTCCACCATAGGCATCAAAGCGCTCCAAATGAACTCTTGCAGATTCTGCATATGTGTGTTTCAACACTGCTCCGTCTAAAGAAATGTTCAAGTCTCTGAGTTGAATGCACCCATCACAAAGCAGTTTCTGAGAATGCTTCTTTCTAGTTTGCATGTGAAGATATTCCCGTTTCCATCTTAAGCCTCACATCGCTCCATATATCCACTTGAGGATACTACAAAAAACTGTTTCAAAACTGCTCTCTCAAAAGGAAGGTTCAACTCTGTGAGCTGAATGCACACATCGCAAAGCAGTTAATGAGATTGCTTCTGTCTAGTTTGTATGTGAGGATATTTCCTTTTCAAACTTAGACTTCCCATCGCTCCAAATATCCACTTGCAGATATTTCAAAGAGACTGTTTAAAAACTGCTCTCTCAGAAGGAAGGTTCAACTCTGTGAGTTGAATGCACACACCACAAAGCAGTTTCTGAGAATGCTTCTGTCTAGTTTGTATGTGAAGATATCCCGTTTACAACGAATTCCTCAAAGAGCTCCAAATATCCACAAGCAGATTCTACAGAAGCAGTGTATCAAAACTGCTCTATCAAAAGAAAGGTTCAACTCTCTGAATAGAACAAACACATCACTAAGGCGTTTCTGAGAATGCTTCTGTCTAGTATTTATGTGAAGATATTTCTTTTTCCACCATAGGCAAAAAAGCGCTCCAAGTGAACACTTGCACATCCTACAAAATGTGTGTTTGAACACTGCTCTTTCAAAAGAAAGGTTGAAGTCTGTGATTGGAATGCACACATCACAAAGCAGTTTCTGAGAATGCTTCTGTCTACTTTGTATGTGAAGATATCCCGTTTACAACAAATTCCTCAAAGAGCTCCAGATATCCACAAGCAGATCCTATAAAAGCGGTGTTTCAAAGCTGCGCTATCAAAGGAATATTTCAATTCTGTGAATTTGACACACACTTCACAAAGGAGTTTCTGAGAATGTTTCTGTCTAGTTTTCATTTGAAGATATTTCTTTTTCCACCATAGGCAACAAAGCGCACTAAATGAACACTTGCAGATTCTACAAAAAGCGTGTTCCAACACTGATCTCTCAAAAGAAAGTTTGAAGTCTGTGAGTTTAAGGCACACATCTCAAGGAACTTTTTGAGAATCCTTGGGTCTCCTTTTTTTGTGAAGATACCAGCTGCCAACGAACTCCTGAAAGAGTTCCAAATATCCACAAGCAGATTCTACAAAAGGAGTGTTTCAATTCTGCTCTATCAAAAGGCAGATTCAACTCAGTTACTTGAATGCACACATCTCAGTGAAGTTCCTGAGCATGCCTCTGTCTAGTTTTTTTGTGAAGATATTTCCTTTTCCGCCAAAGGCTTAAAAGCGCTCCAAAATGAACACTCGCAGATCCTACAAAAAGACTGTTTCAGAACTGCTCTATCAAAAGGACGGTTCCACTCTGTGAGGTAAATGCACACATCACAAAGCAGATTCTGAGAAAGCTTCTGTCAAGTTTGGCCGTGAAGATATTTCCTTTTCAATCTTAGTCCTCCCATTGCTCCAAGTATCCACTTGTAGAGAATACAAAAAGATTGTTTCAAAACTGCTCTCTCAAAAGGAAGGTTCAACTCTGTGAGTAGAATGCACACATCACAAACCAGTTTCTGAGAATGCTTCTGACTAGTTTGAATGTGAAGATATCCCGTTTAAAACGAATTCCTCAAACAGCTCCAAATATCCACAAGAAGATTCTACAAAAGCAGTGTTTCAAAACTGCTTTATCTAAAGAAAGGTTCAACCCTGTGAATTGAACAACCACATCACAAAGTATTTTCTGAGAATGTTTCTGTCTAGTTTTTACGTGAAGATATTTCTTTTTCCACCATGGGCAAGAAAGCACTCCAAATGAACACTTGCAGATTCTACAAAAAGTGTGTTTCAACCCTGCTCTATCAAAAGAAAGTTTCAAGCCTGTGAGTTGAATCCCCACATCACAAAGCAGTTTCTGAGAATGCTTCTGCCTAGTTTTTAGGTGAAGATATATCCTTTTCCATCTTAGGCCTCAAATCTCTCCAAACATCCACTTGCAGATACTTCAAAAAGACTGTTTCAAAACTGCTCTCAAAAGGAAGGTTCAACTCTGTGAGTTGAATGCACACATCACAACGCAGTGTCTGAGAATGCTTCTGTCTAGTTTGTATGTGAAGATATTTCCTTTTCCATCTTAGGCCTCAAATCGATCCAAATATCCAATTGCAGATACCACAAAAAGACTGCTTCAAAACAGCTCTCGCAAAAGGAAGGTTCAACTCTGTGAGTTGAATGCACACATCACAGAGCAGTTTCTGAGAATGCTTCTGTCTAGTTTGTATGTGAAGATATCCCGTTTACAACAAATTCCTCAAAGAGCCCCCAATAGCAACAAGCAGATTCTACAAAAGCAGTGTTTCAAAACTGCTCTATCAAAAGCAACTTTCAACTCTGTGAATTGAACACACACATCACAAAGCAGTCTCTGAGAATGCTTCTGTCTGGTTTTTAGGTGAAGATATTCCTTTTTCCACCAGAGGCAACAAAGCACTCCAAACGAACACATGAAGATTCTACAAAAAGTGTGTTCCAACACTGCTCTATCAAAAGAAAGGTTCAAGTGCTGGGAGTCCAATGTACATATCGCAAAGAACTTTCTGAGAATGCTTGGGTCTACTTTTTATGTGAAGATAGCCGTTTCCAAAGAATTCTTCAAAGAGTTCCAGATATCCACAGGCAGATTCTACAAAAGAAGTGTTTCAATACTGCTCTATCAAAAGACGTATTCAACTCAGTTACTTTAATGCACACATCTCAATGAAGTTCCTGAGAAAGCTTCTGTCTAGTTTTTATGTGAAAATATTTCCTTTTCCATCATGGGCCTCAAAGTGCTCAAAATGGACACTTGCAGATACTAGAGAAAGACTGTTTCAAAACTGCTCTATCCAAAGAACGGTTCCACTCTGTGAGGTGAATGCACACATCACAAAGCAGTTTCTGAGAACGCTTCTGTCTAGTTTGTATGTGAACATATTTCCTTTTCCATCATAGGCCTCAAATCGCTCCAAATATCCACTTGCAGATACTACAAAAAGACTGTTTCAGAACTGCTTTCTCAAAAGAAAGTTTCAACTCTGTGAGTTGAATGCACACATCACAGAGCAGTTTCTGAGAATGCTTCTGTGTAATTTGTATGTGAAGATATCCCGTATACGCCCAATTCCTCAAAGACCTCCAAATACACGCAAGCAGATTCTACAAAAGCAGTGTTTCAAATCTGCTCTATCAAAAGAAAGGTTCAACTTTGTGAATTGGACACAAACATCTCAAAGGAGTTTCTGAGAAGGCTTCTTTCTAGTTTGTATGTGAACACATTTCTTTTTCCACCACAGGCAACAAAGCTCTCCAAATGAACACTTGCAGGTTCTATAAAAAGTGTGTTTCAACACTGCTATATCAAAATAAGGTTTCAAGTCTGTAAGTTTAATGCACACATCACAAAGCAGTTTCTGAGAATGCTTCTGTCTAGTTTGTAGGTGAAGGTATTTCCTTTTCCATATTAGACCTCAAATCACTAAAAATATCCACTTGTATATACTACAAAAAGACTGTTTCAAAACCTCTCTCTCAAAAGGAAGGCTCAACTCTGTGAGTTGAATGCACACATCACAAAGCAGTTTCTGAGTATGCTTCTGTCTAGCTTCTATGTGAAGATAGTTCCTTTTCCCTCATAGGTCCCAAATCGTTCCAAATATCGACTTGCAGATACCACAAAAAGACTGCTTCAAAACTGTTCTCAGAAGGAAGGTTCAACTCCGTGTGTTGAATGCACACATCAAAAAGCAGTTTCTGAGAATGCTTCTGTCTAGTTTGTATGTGAAGATATAACATTGACAGCGAATTCGTCAAAGAGCTTCAAATATCCAAAAGCAGATTCTAGAAAAGCAGTGTTTCAAAACTGCTCAATCAAAAGAAAGGTTCAACTCTGTGAACTGAACACATATATCACAAAGGAGTTTCGGAGAACGCTTCTTTCTAGTCTTTATGTGAAGATATTTCTTTTTCCACCATAGGCATCAAAGCGCTCCAAATGAACTCTTGCAGATTCTGCATATGTGTGTTTCAACACTGCTCCGTCTAAAGAAATGTTCAAGTCTCTGAGTTGAATGCACCCATCACAAAGCAGTTTCTGAGAATGCTTCTTTCTAGTTTGTATGTGAAGATATTCCCGTTTCCATCTTAAGCCTCACATCGCTCCATATATCCACTTGAGGATACTACAAAAAACTGTTTCAAAACTGCTCTCTCAAAAGGAAGGTTCAACTCTGTGAGCTGAATGCACACATCGCAAAGCAGTTAATGAGATTGCTTCTGTCTAGTTTGTATGTGAGGGTATTTCCTTTTCAAACTTAGACTTCCCATCGCTCCAAATATCCACTTGCAGATATTTCAAAGAGACTGTTTAAAAACTGCTCTCTCAGAAGGAAGGTTCAACTCTGTGAGTTGAATGCACACACCACAAAGCAGTTTCTGAGAATGCTCTGTCTAGTTTGTATGTGAAGATATCCCGTTTACAACGAATTCCTCAAAGAGCTCCAAATATCCACAAGCAGATTCTACAGAAGCAGTGTATCAAAACTGCTCTATCAAAAGAAAGGTTCAACTCTCTGAATAGAACAAACACATCACTAAGGCGTTTCTGAGAATGCTTTCTGTCTAGTATTTATGTGAAGATATTTCTTTTTCCCCATAGGCAAAAAAGAGCTCCAAGTGAACACTTGCACATGCTACAAAATGTGTGTTTCAACACTGCTCTTTCAAAAGAAAGGTTGAAGTCTGTGATTGGAATGCACACATCACAAAGCAGTTTCTGAGAATGCTTCTGTCTACTTTGTATGTGAAGATATCCCGTTTACAACAAATTCCTCAAAGAGCTCCAGATATCCACAAGCAGATCCTATAAAAGCGGTGTTTCAAAGCTGCGCTATCAAAGGAATATTTCAATTCTGTGAATTTGACACACACTTCACAAAGGAGTTTCTGAGAATGTTTCTGTCTAGTTTTCATTTGAAGATATTTCTTTTTCCACCATAGGCAACAAAGCGCACTAAATGAACACTTGCAGATTCTACAAAAAGCGTGTTCCAACACTGATCTCTCAAAAGAAAGTTTGAAGTCTGTGAGTTTAAGGCACACATCTCAAGGAACTTTTTGAGAATCCTTGGGTCTCCTTTTTTTGTGAAGATACCAGCTGCCAACGAACTCCTGAAAGAGTTCCAAATATCCACAAGCAGATTCTACAAAAGGAGTGTTTCAATTCTGCTCTATCAAAAGGCAGATTCAACTCAGTTACTTGAATGCACACATCTCAGTGAAGTTCCTGAGCATGCCTCTGTCTAGTTTTTTTGTGAAGATATTTCCTTTTCCACCAAAGGCTTAAAAGCGCTCCAAAATGAACACTCGCAGATCCTACAAAAAGACTGTTTCAGAACTGCTCTATCAAAAGGACGGTTCCACTCTGTGAGGTAAATGCACACATCACAAAGCAGATTCTGAGAAAGCTTCTGTCAAGTTTGGCCGTGAAGATATTTCCTTTTCAATCTTAGTCCTCCCATTGCTCCAAGTATCCACTTGTAGAGAATACAAAAAGATTGTTTCAAAACTGCTCTCTCAAAAGGAAGGTTCAACTCTGTGAGTAGAATGCACACATCACAAACCAGTTTCTGAGAATGCTTCTGACTAGTTTGAATGTGAAGATATCCCGTTTAAAACGAATTCCTCAAACAGCTCCAAATATCCACAAGAAGATTCTACAAAAGCAGTGTTTCAAAACTGCTTTATCTAAAGAAAGGTTCAACCCTGTGAATTGAACAACCACATCACAAAGTATTTTCTGAGAATGTTTCTGTCTAGTTTTTACGTGAAGATATTTCTTTTTCCACCATGGGCAAGAAAGCACTCCAAATGAACACTTGCAGATTCTACAAAAAGTGTGTTTGAACCCTGCTGTATCAAAAGAAAGTTTCAAGCCTGTGAGTTGAATCCCCACATCACAAAGCAGTTTCTGAGAATGCTTCTGCCTAGTTTTTAGGTGAAGATATATCCTTTTCCATCTTAGGCCTCAAATCTCTCCAAACATCCACTTGCAGATACTTCAAAAAGACTGTTTCAAAACTGCTCTCAAAAGGAAGGTTCAACTCTGTGAGTTGAATGCACACATCACAACGCAGTGTCTGAGAATGCTTCTGTCTAGTTTGTATGTGGAGATATTTCCTTTTCCATCTTAGGCCTCAAATCGATCCAAATATCCAATTGCAGATACCACAAAAAGACTGCTTCAAAACAGCTCTCGCAAAAGGAAGGTTCAACTCTGTGAGTTGAATGCACACATCACAGAGCAGTTTCTGAGAATGCTTCTGTCTACTTTGTATGTGAAGATATCCCGTTTACAACAAATTCCTCATAGAGCCCCCAATATCAACAAGCAGATTCTACAAAAGCAGTGTTTCAAAACTGCTCTATCAAAAGGAACATTCAACTCAGCGAATTGAACACACACATCACAAAGCAGTCTCTGAGAATGCTTCTGTCTTGTTTTTAGGTGAAGATATTCCTTTTTCTACCATAGGCAACAAAGCACTCCAGACGAACACATGAAGATTCTACAAAAAGTGTGTTCCAGCACTGCTCTATCAAAAGAAAGGTTCAAGTCTGGGAGTCCAATGTACATATCACAAAGAACTTTCTGAGAATGCTTGGGTCTAGTTTTTATGTGAAGATAGCCGTTTCCAAAGAATTCTTCAAAGAGTTCCAGATATCCACAGGCAGATTATACAAAAGAAGTGTTTCAATACTGCTCTATCAAAAGACGTATTCAAATCAGTTACCTTAATGCACACATCTCAATGAAATTCCTGAGAAAGCTTCTGTCTAGGTTTATGTGAAAATATTAACTTTTCCATCATGGGCCTCAAAGCGCTCAAAATGAACACTTGCAGATACTAGAGAAAGACTGTTTCAAAACTGCTCTATCCAAAGAACGGTTCCACTCTGTGAGGTGAATGCACACATCACAAAGCAGTTTCTGAGAACGCTTGTGTCTAGTTTGTATGTGAACATATTTCCTTTTCCATCATAGGCCTCAAATCGCTCCAAATATCCACTTGCAGATACTACAAGAAGACTGTTTCAAAACTGCATTCTCAAAAGAAAGTTTCAACTCTGTGAGTTGAATGCACACATCACCAAGCAGTTTCTGAGAATGCTTCTGTCTAGTTTGTAGGTGAAGGTATTTCCTTTTCCATCTTACACCTCAAATCACTAAAAATATCCACTTGCAGATACTACAAAAAGACTGTTTCAAAATCTCTCTCTCAAAAGGAAGGTTCAACTCTGTGAGTTGAATGCACACATCACAAAGCAGTTTCTGAGAATGCTTCTGTCTAGTATTTATGTGAAGATATTGCTTTTTCCACCATAGGCACAAAAGCTCTCCAAATGAACACTTGCAGATCCTACAAAATGTGTGTTTCAACACTGCTCTTTCAAAACAAGGGTTAAAGTCTGTGAGTTGAATGCAGACATCACCAAGCAGCTTCTGAGAGTGCTTCTGTCTAGATTGTATGTGAAGATATTTCCTTTTCCATCTTAGGCCTCAAATCACTACAAGTATCCAATTGAAGATACTTCAAAAAGATTGTTTCAAAACGGCTCTCTCAGAAGGAAGGATCAACTCTGTGAGTTCAATTCACAATCACAAAGAAGTTTCTGAGAATGCTTCTGACTTGTGTGTATGTGAAGATATCCCTTTTACAATGAATTCTTCCAAGAGCTACAAATATCCACAAGCAGATTCTACAAAACAGGTTGTTCAAAACTGCTCAATCAAAAGAAAGAGTCAACCCTGTGAATTGAACACACACATCACAAAGCAGTTTCTGAGCATGCTTCTGTCTAGTTTGTAAGTGAACATATTTCCTTTTCCATCATAGGCCTCAAATCGCTCCAAGTATCCACTTGCAGATACTACAAAAAGACTGTTTCAGAACTGCTTTCTCCAAAGAAAGTTTCAACTCTGTTAGTTGAATGCACACATCACAGAGCAGTTTGCTGAGAATGCTTCTGTGTAATTTGTATGTGAAGATATCCCGTATACGCCCAATTCCTCAAAGACCTCCAAATACATGCAAGCAGATTCTACAAAAGCAGTGTTTCAAATCTGCTCTATCAAAAGAAAGGTTCAACTTTGTGAATTGGACACAAACATCTCAAAGGAGTTTCTGAGAAGGCTTCTTTCTAGTTTGTATGTGAACACATTTCTTTTTCCACCACAGGCAACAAAGCTCTCCAAATGAACACTTGCAGATTCTATAAAAAGTGTGTTTCAACACTGCTCTATCAAAATAAGGTTTCAAGTCTGTAAGTTTAATGCACACATCACAAAGCAGTTTCTGAGAATGCTTCTGTCTAGTTTGTAGGTGAAGGTATTTCCTTTTCCATCTTAGACCTCAAATCACCAAAAATATCCACCTGTACATACTACAAAAAGACTGTTTCAAAACGTCTCTCTCAAAAGGAAGGTTCAACTCTGTGAGTTGAATGCACACATCACACAGCAGTTTCTGAGCATGCTTCTGTCTAGTTTGTATGTGAAGATAGTTCCTTTTCCCTCATAGGCCTCAAATCGTTCCAAATATCGACTTGCAGATACTACAAAAAGACTGTTTGAAAACCGTTCTCTCAGAAGGAAGGTTCAACTCCGTGTGTTGAATGCACACATCACAAAGCAGTTTCTGAGAATGCTTCTGTCTAGCTTGTACGTGAAGATAGTTCCTTTTCCCTCATAGGTCCCAAATCGTTCCAAATATCGACTTGCAGATACCACAAAAAGACTGCTTCAAAACTGTTCTCAGAAGGAAGGTTCAACTCCGTGTGTTGAATGCACACATCAAAAAGCAGTTTCTGAGAATGCTTCTGTCTAGTTTGTATGTGAAGATATAACATTGACAGTGAATTCGTCAAAGAGCTTCAAATATCCAAAAGCAGATTCTAGAAAAGCAGTGTTTCAAAACTGCTCAATCAAAAGAAAGGTTCAACTCTGTGAACTGAACACATATATCACAAAGGAGTTTCGGAGAACGCTTCTTTCTAGTCTTTATGTGAAGATATTTCTTTTTCCACCATAGGCATCAAAGCGCTCCAAATGAACTCTTGCAGATTCTGCATATGTGTGTTTCAACACTGCTCCGTCTAAAGAAATGTTCAAGTCTCTGAGTTGAATGCACCCATCACAAAGCAGTTTCTGAGAATGCTTCTTTCTAGTTTGCATGTGAAGATATTCCCGTTTCCATCTTAAGCCTCACATCGCTCCATATATCCACTTGAGGATACTACAAAAAACTGTTTCAAAACTGCTCTCTCAAAAGGAAGGTTCAACTCTGTGAGCTGAATGCACACATCGCAAAGCAGTTAATGAGATTGCTTCTGTCTAGTTTGTATGTGAGGATATTTCCTTTTCAAACTTAGACTTCCCATCGCTCCAAATATCCACTTGCAGATATTTCAAAGAGACTGTTTAAAAACTGCTCTCTCAGAAGGAAGGTTCAACTCTGTGAGTTGAATGCACACACCACAAAGCAGTTTCTGAGAATGCTTCTGTCTAGTTTGTATGTGAAGATATCCCGTTTACAACGAATTCCTCAAAGAGCTCCAAATATCCACAAGCAGATTCTACAGAAGCAGTGTATCAAAACTGCTCTATCAAAAGAAAGGTTCAACTCTCTGAATAGAACAAACACATCACTAAGGCGTTTCTGAGAATGCTTCTGTCTAGTATTTATGTGAAGATATTTCTTTTTCCACCATAGGCAAAAAAGCGCTCCAAGTGAACACTTGCACATCCTACAAAATGTGTGTTTGAACCCTGCTCTTTCAAAAGAAAGGTTGAAGTCTGTGATTGGAATGCACACATCACAAAGCAGTTTCTGAGAATGCTTCTGTCTACTTTGTATGTGAAGATATCCCGTTTACAACAAATTCCTCAAAGAGCTCCAGATATCCACAAGCAGATCCTATAAAAGCGGTGTTTCAAAGCTGCGCTATCAAAGGAATATTTCAATTCTGTGAATTTGACACACACTTCACAAAGGAGTTTCTGAGAATGTTTCTGTCTAGTTTTCATTTGAAGATATTTCTTTTTCCACCATAGGCAACAAAGCGCACTAAATGAACACTTGCAGATTCTACAAAAAGCGTGTTCCAACACTGATCTCTCAAAAGAAAGTTTGAAGTCTGTGAGTTTAAGGCACACATCTCAAGGAACTTTTTGAGAATCCTTGGGTCTCCTTTTTTTGTGAAGATACCAGCTGCCAACGAACTCCTGAAAGAGTTCCAAATATCCACAAGCAGATTCTACAAAAGGAGTGTTTCAATTCTGCTCTATCAAAAGGCAGATTCAACTCAGTTACTTGAATGCACACATCTCAGTGAAGTTCCTGAGCATGCCTCTGTCTAGTTTTTTTGTGAAGATATTTCCTTTTCCGCCAAAGGCTTAAAAGTGCTCCAAAATGAACACTCGCAGATCCTACAAAAAGACTGTTTCAGAACTGCTCTATCAAAAGGACGGTTCCACTCTGTGAGGTAAATGCACACATCACAAAGCAGATTCTGAGAAAGCTTCTGTCAAGTTTGGCCGTGAAGATATTTCCTTTTCAATCTTAGTCCTCCCATTGCTCCAAGTATCCACTTGTAGAGAATACAAAAAGATTGTTTCAAAACTGCTCTCTCAAAAGGAAGGTTCAACTCTGTGAGTAGAATGCACACATCACAAACCAGTTTCTGAGAATGCTTCTGACTAGTTTGAATGTGAAGATATCCCGTTTAAAACGAATTCCTCAAACAGCTCCAAATATCCACAAGAAGATTCTACAAAAGCAGTGTTTCAAAACTGCTTTATCTAAAGAAAGGTTCAACCCTGTGAATTGAACAACCACATCACAAAGTATTTTCTGAGAATGTTTCTGTCTAGTTTTTACGTGAAGATATTTCTTTTTCCACCATGGGCAAGAAAGCACTCCAAATGAACACTTGCAGATTCTACAAAAAGTGTGTTTCAACCCTGCTCTATCAAAAGAAAGTTTCAAGCCTGTGAGTTGAATCCCCACATCACAAAGCAGTTTCTGAGAATGCTTCTGCCTAGTTTTTAGGTGAAGATATATCCTTTTCCATCTTAGGCCTCAAATCTCTCCAAACATCCACTTGCAGATACTTCAAAAAGACTGTTTCAAAACTGCTCTCAAAAGGAAGGTTCAACTCTGTGAGTTGAATGCACACATCACAACGCAGTGTCTGAGAATGCTTCTGTCTAGTTTGTATGTGAAGATATTTCCTTTTCCATCTTAGGCCTCAAATCGATCCAAATATCCAATTGCAGATACCACAAAAAGACTGCTTCAAAACAGCTCTCGCAAAAGGAAGGTTCAACTCTGTGAGTTGAATGCACACATCACAGAGCAGTTTCTGAGAATGCTTCTGTCTACTTTGTATGTGAAGATATCCCGTTTACAACAAATTCCTCAAAGAGCCCCCAATAGCAACAAGCAGATTCTACAAAAGCAGTGTTTCAAAACTGCTCTATCCAAAGCAACTTTCAACTCTGCGAATTGAACACACACATCACAAAGCAGTCTCTGAGAATGCTTCTGTCTGGTTTTTAGGTGAAGATATTCCTTTTTCCACCATAGGCAACAGAGCACTCCAAACGAACACATGAAGATTCTACAAAAAGTGTGTTCCAACACTGCTCTATCAAAAGAAAGTTTCAAGTCTGGGAGTCCAATGTACATGTCACAAAGAACGTTCTGTGAATGCTTGGGTCTACTTTTTATGTGAAGATAGCCGTTTCCAAATAATTCTTCAAAGAGTTCCAGATATCCACAGGCAGATTCTACAAAAGAAGTGTTTCAATACTGCTCTATCAAAAGACGTATTCAACTCAGTTACTTTAATGCACACATCTCAATGAAGTTCCTGAGAAAGCTTCTGTCTAGTTTTTATGTGAAAATATTTCCTTTTCCATCATGGGCCTCAAAGCGCTCAAAATGAACACTTGCAGATACTAGAGAAAGACTGTTTCAAAACTGCTCTATCCAAAGAAAGGTTCCACTCTGTGAGGTGAATGCACACATCACAAAGCAGTTTCTCAGAACGCTTCTGTCTAGTTTGTATGTGAACATATTTCCTTTTCCATCATAGGCCTCAAATCGCTCCAAATATCCACTTGCAGATACTACAAAAAGACTGTTTCAAAACTGCTTTCTCAAAAGAAAGTTTCAACTCTGTGAGTTGAATGCACACATCACAAAGCAGTTTCTGAGAATGCTTCTGTGTAACTTGTATGTGAAGATCTCCCGTATACGCCCAATTCCTAAAAGACCGCCAAATATCCGCAAGCAGATTCTACAAAAGCAGTGTTTCAAATCTGCTCTATCAAAAGAAAGGTTCAACTTTGTGAATTGGACACAAACATCTCAAAGGAGTTTCTGAGAAGGCTTCTTTCTAGTTTCTAGGTGAACATATTCCTTTTTCCACCACAGGCAACAAAGCTCTCCAAATGAACACTTGCAGATTCTATAAAAAGTGTGTTTCAACACTGCTCTATCAAAATAAAGTTTCAAGTCTGTAAGTTTAATGCACACATCACAAAGCAGTTTCTGAGAATGCTTCTGTCTAGTTTGTAGGTGAAGGTATTTCCTTTTCCATCTTAGACCTCAAATCACTAAAAATATCCACTTGCAGATACTACAAAAAGACTGTTTCAAAACCTCTCTCTCAAAAGGAGGGTGCAACTCTGTGAGTTGAATGCACACATCACAAAGCAGTTTCTGAGAATGCTACTTTCTAGTATTTATGTGAAGATATTTCTTTATCCACCATAGGCACAACAGCGTTCCAAATGAACACTTGCAGATCGTACAAAATGTGTGTTTCAACACTGCTCTTTCAAAACAAGGGTTCAAGTCTGTGAGTTGAATGCAGACATCACCAAGCAGCTTCTGAGAGTGCTTCTGTCTAGATTGTATGTGAAGATATTTCCTCTTCCATCTTAGGCCTCAAATCACTACAAACATCCAATTGAAGATACTTCAAAAAGATTGTTTCAAAACGGCTCTCTCAAAAGGAAGGTTCAACTCTGTGAGTTCAATTCACACATCACAAAGAAGTTTCTGAGAATGCTTCTGACAAGTGTGTATGTGAAGATATCCCTTTTACAAAGAATTCCTCCAAGAGCTACAAATATCCACAAGCAGATTCTACAAAACAGGTGGTTCAAAACTGCTCAATCAAAAGAAAGAGTCAACCCTGTGAATTGAACACACACATCACAAAGCAGTTTCTGAGAATGCTTCTGTCTAGTTTGTAAGTGAACATATTTCCTTTTCCATCATAGGCCTCAAATCGCTCCAAATATCCACTTGCAGATACTACAAAAAGACTGTTTCAGAACAGCTTTCTCAAAAGAAAGTTTCAACTCTGTGAGAGGAATGCACACATCACAGAGCAGTTTCTGAGAATGCTTCTGTGTAATTTGTATTTGAAGATATCCCGTATACGCCCAATTCCTCAAAGCCCTCCAAATACACGCAAGCAGATTCTACAAAAGCAGTGTTTCAAATCTGCTCTATCAAAAGAAAGGTTCAACTTTGTGAATTGGACACAAACATCTCAAAGGAGTTTCTGAGAAGGCTTCTTTCTAGTTTGTATGTGAACACATTTCTTTTTCCACCACAGGCAACAAAGCTCTCCAAATGAACACTTGCAGATTCTATAAAAAGTGTGTTTCAACACTGCTCTATCAAAATAAGGTTTCAAGTCTGTAAGTTTAATGCACACATCACAAAGCAGTTTCTGAGAATGCTTCTGTCTAGTTTGTAGGTGAAGGTATTTCCTTTTCCATCTTAGACCTCAAATCACCAAAAATATCTACCTGTACATACTACAAAAAGACTGTTTCAAAACGTCTCTCTCAAAAGGAAGGTTCAACTCTGTGAGTTGAATGCACGCATCACAAAGCAGTTTCTGAGCATGCTTCTGTCTAGTTTGTATGTGAAGATAGTTCCTTTTCCCTCATAGGCCTCAAAGCATTCCAAATATCGACTTGCAGATACTACAAAAAGACTGTTTCAAAACTGTTCTCTCAGAAGGAAGGTTCAACTCCGTGTGTTGAATGCACACATCACAAAGCAGTTTCTGAGAATGCTTCTGTCTAGCTTGTACGTGAAGATAGTTCCTTTTCCCTCATAGGTCCCAAATCGTTCCAAATATCGACTTGCAGATACCACAAAAAGACTGCTTCAAAACTGTTCTCAGAAGGAAGGTTCAACTCCGTGTGTTGAATGCACACATCAAAAAGCAGTTTCTGAGAATGCTTCTGTCTAGTTTGTATGTGAAGATATAACATTGACAGTGAATTCGTCAAAGAGCTTCAAATATCCAAAAGCAGATTCTAGAAAAGCAGTGTTTCAAAACTGCTCAATCAAAAGAAAGGTTCAACTCTGTGAACTGAACACATATATCACAAAGGAGTTTCGGAGAACGCTTCTTTCTAGTCTTTATGTGAAGATATTTCTTTTTCCACCATAGGCATCAAAGCGCTCCAAATGAACTCTTGCAGATTCTGCATATGTGTGTTTCAACACTGCTCCGTCTAAAGAAATGTTCAAGTCTCTGAGTTGAATGCACCCATCACAAAGCAGTTTCTGAGAATGCTTCTTTCTAGTTTGCATGTGAAGATATTCCCGTTTCCATCTTAAGCCTCACATCGCTCCATATATCCACTTGAGGATACTACAAAAAACTGTTTCAAAACTGCTCTCTCAAAAGGAAGGTTCAACTCTGTGAGCTGAATGCACACATCGCAAAGCAGTTAATGAGATTGCTTCTGTCTAGTTTGTATGTGAGGATATTTCCTTTTCAAACTTAGACTTCCCATCGCTCCAAATATCCACTTGCAGATATTTCAAAGAGACTGTTTAAAAACTGCTCTCTCAGAAGGAAGGTTCAACTCTGTGAGTTGAATGCACACACCACAAAGCAGTTTCTGAGAATGCTTCTGTCTAGTTTGTATGTGAAGATATCCCGTTTACAACGAATTCCTCAAAGAGCTCCAAATATCCACAAGCAGATTCTACAGAAGCAGTGTATCAAAACTGCTCTATCAAAAGAAAGGTTCAACTCTCTGAATAGAACAAACACATCACTAAGGCGTTTCTGAGAATGCTTCTGTCTAGTATTTATGTGAAGATATTTCTTTTTCCACCATAGGCAAAAAAGCGCTCCAAGTGAACACTTGCACATCCTACAAAATGTGTGTTTGAACACTGCTCTTTCAAAAGAAAGGTTGAAGTCTGTGATTGGAATGCACACATCACAAAGCAGTTTCTGAGAATGCTTCTGTCTACTTTGTATGTGAAGATATCCCGTTTACAACAAATTCCTCAAAGAGCTCCAGATATCCACAAGCAGATCCTATAAAAGCGGTGTTTCAAAGCTGCGCTATCAAAGGAATATTTCAATTCTGTGAATTTGACACACACTTCACAAAGGAGTTTCTGAGAATGTTTCTGTCTAGTTTTCATTTGAAGATATTTCTTTTTCCACCATAGGCAACAAAGCGCACTAAATGAACACTTGCAGATTCTACAAAAAGCGTGTTCCAACACTGATCTCTCAAAAGAAAGTTTGAAGTCTGTGAGTTTAAGGCACACATCTCAAGGAACTTTTTGAGAATCCTTGGGTCTCCTTTTTTTGTGAAGATACCAGCTGCCAACGAACTCCTGAAAGAGTTCCAAATATCCACAAGCAGATTCTACAAAAGGAGTGTTTCAATTCTGCTCTATCAAAAGGCAGATTCAACTCAGTTACTTGAATGCACACATCTCAGTGAAGTTCCTGAGCATGCCTCTGTCTAGTTTTTTTGTGAAGATATTTCCTTTTCCGCCAAAGGCTTAAAAGCGCTCCAAAATGAACACTCGCAGATCCTACAAAAAGACTGTTTCAGAACTGCTCTATCAAAAGGACGGTTCCACTCTGTGAGGTAAATGCACACATCACAAAGCAGATTCTGAGAAAGCTTCTGTCAAGTTTGGCCGTGAAGATATTTCCTTTTCCATCTTAGGCCTCAAATCACTACAAACATCCAATTGAAGATACTTCAAAAAGATTGTTTCAAAACGGCTCTCTCAAAAGGAAGATTCAACTCTGTGAATTCAATTCACACATCACAAAGAAGTTTCTGAGAAAGCTTCTGACTAGTTTGAATGTGAAGATATCCCGTTTAAAACGAATTCCTCAAACAGCTCCAAATATCCACAAGAAGATTCTACAAAAGCAGTGTTTCAAAACTGCTTTATCTAAAGAAAGGTTCAACCCTGTGAATTGAACAACCACATCACAAAGTATTTTCTGAGAATGTTTCTGTCTAGTTTTTACGTGAAGATATTTCTTTTTCCACCATGGGCAAGAAAGCACTCCAAATGAACACTTGCAGATTCTACAAAAAGTGTGTTTGAACCCTGCTCTATCAAAAGAAAGTTTCAAGCCTGTGAGTTGAATCCCCACATCACAAAGCAGTTTCTGAGAATGCTTCTGCCTAGTTTTTAGGTGAAGATATATCCTTTTCCATCTTAGGCCTCAAATCTCTCCAAACATCCACTTGCAGATACTTCAAAAAGACTGTTTCAAAACTGCTCTCAAAAGGAAGGTTCAACTCTGTGAGTTGAATGCACACATCACAACGCAGTGTCTGAGAATGCTTCTGTCTAGTTTGTATGTGAAGATATTTCCTTTTCCATCTTAGGCCTCAAATCGATCCAAATATCCAATTGCAGATACCACAAAAAGACTGCTTCAAAACAGCTCTCGCAAAAGGAAGGTTCAACTCTGTGAGTTGAATGCACACATCACAGAGCAGTTTCTGAGAATGCTTCTGTCTACTTTGTATGTGAAGATATCCCGTTTACAACAAATTCCTCAAAGAGCCCCCAATAGCAACAAGCAGATTCTACAAAAGCAGTGTTTCAAAACTGCTCTATCAAAAGCAACTTTCAACTCTGCGAATTGAACACACACATCACAAAGCAGTCTCTGAGAATGCTTCTGTCTGGTTTTTAGGTGAAGATATTCCTTTTTCCACCATAGGCAACAGAGCACTCCAAACGAACACATGAAGATTCTACAAAAAGTGTGTTCCAACACTGCTCTATCAAAAGAAAGTTTCAAGTCTGGGAGTCCAATGTACATGTCACAAAGAACGTTCTGTGAATGCTTGGGTCTACTTTTTATGTGAAGATAGCCGTTTCCAAAGAATTCTTCAAAGAGTTCCAGATATCCACAGGCAGATTCTACAAAAGAAGTGTTTCAATACTGCTCTATCAAAAGACGTATTCAACTCAGTTACTTTAATGCACACATCTCAATGAAGTTCCTGAGAAAGCTTCTGTCTAGTTTTTATGTGAAAATATTTCCTTTTCCATCATGGGCCTCAAAGCGCTCAAAATGAACACTTGCAGATACTAGAGAAAGACTGTTTCAAAACTGCTCTATCCAAAGAAAGGTTCCACTCTGTGAGGTGAATGCACACATCACAAAGCAGTTTCTCAGAACGCTTCTGTCTAGTTTGTATGTGAACATATTTCCTTTTCCATCATAGGCCTCAAATCGCTCCAAATATCCACTTGCAGATACTACAAAAAGACTGTTTCAAAACTGCTTTCTCAAAAGAAAGTTTCAACTCTGTGAGTTGAATGCACACATCACAAAGCAGTTTCTGAGAATGCTTCTGTGTAACTTGTATGTGAAGATCTCCCGTATACGCCCAATTCCTCAAAGACCGCCAAATATCCGCAAGCAGATTCTACAAAAGCAGTGTTCCAAATCTGCTCTATCAAAAGAAAGGTTCAACTTTGTGAATTGGACACAAACATCTCAAAGGAGTTTCTGAGAAGGCTTCTTTCTAGTTTCTAGGTGAACATATTCCTTTTTCCACCACAGGCAACAAAGCTCTCCAAATGAACACTTGCAGATTCTATAAAAAGTGTGTTTCAACACTGCTCTATCAAAATAAAGTTTCAAGTCTGTAAGTTTAATGCACACATCACAAAGCAGTTTCTGAGAATGCTTCTGTCTAGTTTGTAGGTGAAGGTATTTCCTTTTCCATCTTAGACCTCAAATCACTAAAAATATCCACTTGCAGATACTACAAAAAGACTGTTTCAAAACCTCTCTCTCAAAAGGAAGGTGCAACTCTGTGAGTTGAATGCACACATCACAAAGCAGTTTCTGAGAATGCTACTTTCTAGTATTTATGTGAAGATATTTCTTTATCCACCATAGGCACAACAGCGTTCCAAATGAACACTTGCAGATCGTACAAAATGTGTGTTTCAACACTGCTCTTGCAAAACAAGGGTTCAAGTCTGTGAGTTGAATGCAGACATCACCAAGCAGCTTCTGAGAGTGCTTCTGTCTAGATTGTATGTGAAGATATTTCCTATTCCATCTTAGGCCTCAAATCACTACAAACATCCAATTGAAGATACTTCAAAAAGATTGTTTCAAAACGGCTCTCTCAAAAGGAAGGTTCAACTCTGTGAGTTCAATTCACACATCACAAAGAAGTTTCTGAGAATGCTTCTGACTAGTGTGTATGTGAAGATATCCCTTTTACAAAGAATTCCTCCAAGAGCTACAAATATCCACAAGCAGATTCTACAAAACAGGTGGTTCAAAACTGCTCAATCAAAAGAAAGAGTCAACCCTGTGAATTGAACACACACATCACAAAGCAGTTTCTGAGAATGCTTCTGTCTAGTTTGTAAGTGAACATATTTCCCTTTCCATCATAGGCCTCAAATCGCTCCAAGTATCCACTTGCAGATACTACAAAAAGACTGTTTCAGAACTGCTTTCTCCAAAGAAAGTTTCAACTCTGTTAGTTGAATGCACACATCACAGAGCAGTTTCTGAGAATGCTTCTGTGTAATTTGTATGTGAAGATATCCCGTATACGCCCAATTCCTCAAAGACCTCCAAATACACGCAAGCAGATTCTACAAAAGCAGTGTTTCAAAACTGCTCTATCAAAAGAAAGGTTCAACTTTGTGAATTAGACACAAACATCTCAAAGGAGTTTCTGAGAAGGCTTCTTTCTAGTTTGTATGTGAACACATTTCTTTTTCCACCACAGGCAACAAAGCTCTCCAAATGAACACTTGCAGGTTCTATAAAAAGTGTGTTTCAACACTGCTATATCAAAATAAGGTTTCAAGTCTGTAAGTTTAATGCACACATCACAAAGCAGTTTCTGAGAATGCTTCTGTCTAGTTTGTAGGTGAAGGTATTTCCTTTTCCATATTAGACCTCAAATCACTAAAAATATCCACTTGTATATACTACAAAAAGACTGTTTCAAAACCTCTCTCTCAAAAGGAAGGCTCAACTCTGTGAGTTGAATGCACACATCACAAAGCAGTTTCTGAGTATGCTTCTGTCTAGCTTGTATGTGAAGATAGTTCCTTTTCCCTCATAGGTCCCAAATCGTTCCAAATATCGACTTGCAGATACCACAAAAAGACTGCTTCAAAACTGTTCTCAGAAGGAAGGTTCAACTCCGTGTGTTGAATGCACACATCAAAAAGCAGTTTCTGAGAATGCTTCTGTCTAGTTTGTATGTGAAGATATAACATTGACAGCGAATTCGTCAAAGAGCTTCAAATATCCAAAAGCAGATTCTAGAAAAGCAGTGTTTCAAAACTGCTCAATCAAAAGAAAGGTTCAACTCTGTGAACTGAACACATATATCACAAAGGAGTTTCGGAGAACGCTTCTTTCTAGTCTTTATGTGAAGATATTTCTTTTTCCACCATAGGCATCAAAGCGCTCCAAATGAACTCTTGCAGATTCTGCATATGTGTGTTTCAACACTGCTCCGTCTAAAGAAATGTTCAAGTCTCTGAGTTGAATGCACCCATCACAAAGCAGTTTCTGAGAATGCTTCTTTCTAGTTTGCATGTGAAGATATTCCCGTTTCCATCTTAAGCCTCACATCGCTCCATATATCCACTTGAGGATACTACAAAAAACTGTTTCAAAACTGCTCTCTCAAAAGGAAGGTTCAACTCTGTGAGCTGAATGCACACATCGCAAAGCAGTTAATGAGATTGCTTCTGTCTAGTTTGTATGTGAGGATATTTCCTTTTCAAACTTAGACTTCCCATCGCTCCAAATATCCACTTGCAGATATTTCAAAGAGACTGTTTAAAAACTGCTCTCTCAGAAGGAAGGTTCAACTCTGTGAGTTGAATGCACACACCACAAAGCAGTTTCTGAGAATGCTTCTGTCTAGTTTGTATGTGAAGATATCCCGTTTACAACGAATTCCTCAAAGAGCTCCAAATATCCACAAGCAGATTCTACAGAAGCAGTGTATCAAAACTGCTCTATCAAAAGAAAGGTTCAACTCTCTGAATAGAACAAACACATCACTAAGGCGTTTCTGAGAATGCTTCTGTCTACTATTTATGTGAAGATATTGCTTTTTCCACCATAGGCAAAAAAGCGCTCCAAGTGAACACTTGCACATCCTACAAAATGTGTGTTTCAACACTGCTCTTTCAAAAGAAAGGTTCAAGTCTGTGAGTTGAATGCACACATCACAAAGCAGTTTCTGAGAATTCTTCTGCCTAGTTTGTATGTGAAGATATCCCGTTTACAACGAAATCCTCAAAGAGCTCGAAATATCCACAAGCAGATCCTATGAAAGCGGTGTTTCAAAACTGCTCTATCAAAAGAAAATTTCAATTCTGTGAATTTGACAAACACTTCACAAAGGAGTTTCTGAGAATGTTTCTGTCTAGTTTTCATTTGAAGATATTTCTTTTTCCACCATAGGCAACAGAGCGCACTAAATGAACACTTGCAGATTCTACAAAAAGCGTGTTCCAACACTGATCTCTCAAAAGAAAGTTTGAAGTCTGTGAGTTTAAGGCACACATCTCAAACAACTTTTTGAGAATGCTTGGGTTTCCTTTTTTTGGGAAGATACCAGCTTCCAACGAATTCCTGAAAGAGTTCCAAATATCCACAAGCATATTCTACAAAAGGAGTGTTTCAATTCTGCTCTATCAAAAGGCAGATTCAACTCAGTTACTTGAATGCACACATCTCAATGAAGTTCCTGAGCATGCCTCTGTCTAGTTTTTTGTGAAGATATTTCCTTTTCCGCCAAAGGCTTAAAAGCGCACCAGAATGAACACTCGCAGATCCTACAAAAAGACTGTTTCAGAACTGCTCTATCAAAAGGACGGTTCCACTCTGTGAGGTGAATGCACACATCACAAAGCAGATTCTGAGAAAGCTTCTGTCAAGTTTGGCCGTGAAGATATTTCCTTTTCAATCTTAGTCTCCCTTGCTCCAAGTATCCACTTGTAGAGAATACAAAAAGATTGTTTCAAAACTGCTCTCTCAAAAGGAAGGTTCAACTCTGTGAGTAGAATGCACACATCACAAACCAGTTTCTGAGAATGTTTCTGACTAGTTTGAATGTGAAGATATCCCGTTTAAAACGAATTCCTCAAACAGCTCCAAATATCCACAAGAAGATTCTACAAAAGCAGTGTTTCAAAACTGCTTTATCTAAAGAAAGTTTCAACCCTGTGAATTGAACAACTACATCACAAAGTATTTTCTGAGAATGTTTCTGTCTAGTTTTTACGTGAAGATATTTCTTTTTCCACCATGGGCAAGAAAGCACTCCAAATGAACACTTGCAGATTCTACAAAAAGTGTGTTTCAACCCTGCTCTATCAAAAGAAAGTTTCAAGCCTGTGAGTCGAATCCTCACATCACAAAGCAGTTTCTGAGAATGCTTCTGCCTAGTTTTTAGGTGAAGATATATCCTTTTCCATCTTAGGCCTCAAATCTCTCCAAACATCCACTTGCAGATACTTCAAAAAGACTGTTTCAAAACTGCTCTCAAAAGGAAGGTTCAACTCTGTGAGTTGAATGCACACATCACAACGCAGTGTCTGAGAATGCTTCTGTCTAGTTTGTATGTGAAGATATTTCCTTTTCCATCTTAGGCCTCAAATCGATCCAAATATCCAATTGCAGATACCACAAAAAGACTGCTTCAAAACAGCTCTCGCAAAAGGAAGGTTCAACTCTGTGAGTTGAATGCACACATCACAGAGCAGTTTCTGAGAATGCTTCTGTCTACTTTGTATGTGAAGATATCCCGTTTACAACAAATTCCTCAAAGAGCCCCCAATAGCAACAAGCAGATTCTACAAAAGCAGTGTTTCAAAACTGCTCTATCCAAAGCAACTTTCAACTCTGCGAATTGAACACACACATCACAAAGCAGTCTCTGAGAATGCTTCTGTCTGGTTTTTAGGTGAAGATATTCCTTTTTCCACCATAGGCAACAGAGCACTCCAAACGAACACATGAAGATTCTACAAAAAGTGTGTTCCAACACTGCTCTATCAAAAGAAAGTTTCAAGTCTGGGAGTCCAATGTACATGTCACAAAGAACGTTCTGTGAATGCTTGGGTCTACTTTTTATGTGAAGATAGCCGTTTCCAAAGAATTCTTCAAAGAGTTCCAGATATCCACAGGCAGATTCTACAAAAGAAGTGTTTCAATACTGCTCTATCAAAAGACGTATTCAACTCAGTTACTTTAATGCACACATCTCAATGAAGTTCCTGAGAAAGCTTCTGTCTAGTTTTTATGTGAAAATATTTCCTTTTCCATCATGGGCCTCAAAGCGCTCAAAATGAACACTTGCAGATACTAGAGAAAGACTGTTTCAAAACTGCTCTATCCAAAGAAAGGTTCCACTCTGTGAGGTGAATGCACACATCACAAAGCAGTTTCTCAGAACGCTTCTGTCTAGTTTGTATGTGAACATATTTCCTTTTCCATCATAGGCCTCAAATCGCTCCAAATATCCACTTGCAGATACTACAAAAAGACTGTTTCAAAACTGCTTTCTCAAAAGAAAGTTTCAACTCTGTGAGTTGAATGCACACATCACAAAGCAGTTTCTGAGAATGCTTCTGTGTAACTTGTATGTGAAGATCTCCCGTATATGCCCAATTCCTAAAAGACCGCCAAATATCCGCAAGCAGATTCTACAAAAGCAGTGTTTCAAATCTGCTCTATCAAAAGAAAGGTTCAACTTTGTGAATTGGACACAAACATCTCAAAGGAGTTTCTGAGAAGGCTTCTTTCTAGTTTCTAGGTGAACATATTCCTTTTTCCACCACAGGCAACAAAGCTCTCCAAATGAACACTTGCAGATTCTATAAAAAGTGTGTTTCAACACTGCTCTATCAAAATAAAGTTTCAAGTCTGTAAGTTTAATGCACACATCACAAAGCAGTTTCTGAGAATGCTTCTGTCTAGTTTGTAGGTGAAGGTATTTCCTTTTCCATCTTAGACCTCAAATCACTAAAAATATCCACTTGCAGATACTACAAAAAGACTGTTTCAAAACCTCTCTCTCAAAAGGAAGGTGCAACTCTGTGAGTTGAATGCACACATCACAAAGCAGTTTCTGAGAATGCTACTTTCTAGTATTTATGTGAAGATATTTCTTTATCCACCATAGGCACAACAGCGTTCCAAATGAACACTTGCAGATCGTACAAAATGTGTGTTTCAACACTGCTCTTTCAAAACAAGGGTTCAAGTCTGTGAGTTGAATGCAGACATCACCAAGCAGCTTCTGAGAGTGCTTCTGTCTAGATTGTATGTGAAGATATTTCCTATTCCATCTTAGGCCTCAAATCACTACAAACATCCAATTGAAGATACTTCAAAAAGATTGTTTCAAAACGGCTCTCTCAAAAGGAAGGTTCAACTCTGTGAGTTCAATTCACACATCACAAAGAAGTTTCTGAGAATGCTTCTGACTAGTGTGTATGTGAAGATATCCCTTTTACAAAGAATTCCTCCAAGAGCTACAAATATCCACAAGCAGATTCTACAAAACAGGTGGTTCAAAACTGCTCAATCAAAAGAAAGAGTCAACCCTGTGAATTGAACACACACATCACAAAGCAGTTTCTGAGAATGCTTCTGTCTAGTTTGTAAGTGAACATATTTCCTTTTCCATCATAGGCCTCAAATCGCTCCAAGTATCCACTTGCAGATACTACAAAAAGACTGTTTCAGAACTGCTTTCTCCAAAGAAAGTTTCAACTCTGTTAGTTGAATGCACACATCACAGAGCAGTTTCTGAGAATGCTTCTGTGTAATTTGTATGTGAAGATATCCCGTATACGCCCAATTCCTCAAAGACCTCCAAATACACGCAAGCAGATTCTACAAAAGCAGTGTTGCAAATCTGCTCTATCAAAAGAAAGGTTCAACTTTGTGAATTAGACACAAACATCTCAAAGGAGTTTCTGAGAAGGCTTCTTTCTAGTTTGTATGTGAACACATTTCTTTTTCCACCACAGGCAACAAAGCTCTCCAAATGAACACTTGCAGGTTCTATAAAAAGTGTGTTTCAACACTGCTATATGAAAATAAGGTTTCAACTCTGTAAGTTTAATGCACACATCACAAAGCAGTTTCTGAGAATGCTTCTGTCTAGTTTGTAGGTGAAGGTATTTCCTTTTCCATATTAGACCTCAAATCACTAAAAATATCCACTTGTATATACTACAAAAAGACTGTTTCAAAACCTCTCTCTCAAAAGGAAGGCTCAACTCTGTGAGTTGAATGCACACATCACAAAACAGTTTCTGAGTATGCTTCTGTCTAGCTTGTATGTGAAGATAGTTCCTTTTCCCTCATAGGTCCCAAATCGTTCCAAATATCGACTTGCAGATACCACAAAAAGACTGCTTCAAAACTGTTCTCAGAAGGAAGGTTCAACTCCGTGTGTTGAATGCACACATCAAAAAGCAGTTTCTGAGAATGCTTCTGTCTAGTTTGTATGTGAAGATATAACATTGACAGTGAATTCGTCAAAGAGCTTCAAATATCGAAAAGCAGATTCTAGAAAAGCAGTGTTTCAAAACTGCTCAATCAAAAGAAAGGTTCAACTCTGTGAACTGAACACATATATCACAAAGGAGTTTCGGAGAACGCTTCTTTCTAGTCTTTATGTGAAGATATTTCTTTTTCCACCATAGGCATCAAAGCGCTCCAAATGAACTCTTGCAGATTCTGCATATGTGTGTTTCAACACTGCTCCGTCTAAAGAAATGTTCAAGTCTCTGAGTTGAATGCACCCATCACAAAGCAGTTTCTGAGAATGCTTCTTTCTAGTTTGCATGTGAAGATATTCCCGTTTCCATCTTAAGCCTCACATCGCTCCATATATCCACTTGAGGATACTACAAAAAACTGTTTCAAAACTGCTCTCTCAAAAGGAAGGTTCAACTCTGTGAGCTGAATGCACACATCGCAAAGCAGTTAATGAGATTGCTTCTGTCTAGTTTGTATGTGAGGATATTTCCTTTTCAAACTTAGACTTCCCATCGCTCCAAATATCCACTTGCAGATATTTCAAAGAGACTGTTTAAAAACTGCTCTCTCAGAAGGAAGGTTCAACTCTGTGAGTTGAATGCACACACCACAAAGCAGTTTCTGAGAATGCTTCTGTCTAGTTTGTATGTGAAGATATCCCGTTTACAACGAATTCCTCAAAGAGCTCCAAATATCCACAAGCAGATTCTACAGAAGCAGTGTATCAAAACTGCTCTATCAAAAGAAAGGTTCAACTCTCTGAATAGAACAAACACATCACTAAGGCGTTTCTGAGAATGCTTCTGTCTAGTATTTATGTGAAGATATTTCTTTTTCCACCATAGGCAAAAAAGCGCTCCAAGTGAACACTTGCACATCCTACAAAATGTGTGTTTGAACACTGCTCTTTCAAAAGAAAGGTTGAAGTCTGTGATTGGAATGCACACATCACAAAGCAGTTTCTGAGAATGCTTCTGTCTACTTTGTATGTGAAGATATCCCGTTTACAACAAATTCCTCAAAGAGCT
This sequence comes from Homo sapiens, assembly GCF_000001405.40. NCBI lineage: Eukaryota > Metazoa > Chordata > Mammalia > Primates > Hominidae > Homo > Homo sapiens. Next base: position 46,842,793 of record NC_000005.10, on the reverse strand, counting down.
CCAGATATCCACAAGCAGATCCTATAAAAGCGGTGTTTCAAAGCTGCGCTATCAAAGGAATATTTCAATTCTGTGAATTTGACACACACTTCACAAAGGAGTTTCTGAGAATGTTTCTGTCTAGTTTTCATTTGAAGATATTTCTTTTTCCACCATAGGCAACAAAGCGCACTAAATGAACACTTGCAGATTCTACAAAAAGCGTGTTCCAACACTGATCTCTCAAAAGAAAGTTTGAAGTCTGTGAGTTTAAGGCACACATCTCAAGGAACTTTTTGAGAATCCTTGGGTCTCCTTTTTTTGTGAAGATACCAGCTGCCAACGAACTCCTGAAAGAGTTCCAAATATCCACAAGCAGATTCTACAAAAGGAGTGTTTCAATTCTGCTCTATCAAAAGGCAGATTCAACTCAGTTACTTGAATGCACACATCTCAGTGAAGTTCCTGAGCATGCCTCTGTCTAGTTTTTTTGTGAAGATATTTCCTTTTCCGCCAAAGGCTTAAAAGCGCTCCAAAATGAACACTCGCAGATCCTACAAAAAGACTGTTTCAGAACTGCTCTATCAAAAGGACGGTTCCACTCTGTGAGGTAAATGCACACATCACAAAGCAGATTCTGAGAAAGCTTCTGTCAAGTTTGGCCGTGAAGATATTTCCTTTTCAATCTTAGTCCTCCCATTGCTCCAAGTATCCACTTGTAGAGAATACAAAAAGATTGTTTCAAAACTGCTCTCTCAAAAGGAAGGTTCAACTCTGTGAGTAGAATGCACACATCACAAACCAGTTTCTGAGAATGCTTCTGACTAGTTTGAATGTGAAGATATCCCGTTTAAAACGAATTCCTCAAACAGCTCCAAATATCCACAAGAAGATTCTACAAAAGCAGTGTTTCAAAACTGTTTTATCTAAAGAAAGGTTCAACCCTGTGAATTGAACAACCACATCACAAAGTATTTTCTGAGAATGTTTCTGTCTAGTTTTTACGTGAAGATATTTCTTTTTCCACCATGGGCAAGAAAGCACTCCAAATGAACACTTGCAGATTCTACAAAAAGTGTGTTTGAACCCTGCTCTATCAAAAGAAAGTTTCAAGGCTGTGAGTTGAATCCCCACATCACAAAGCAGTTTCTGAGAATGCTTCTGCCTAGTTTTTAGGTGAAGATATATCCTTTTCCATCTTAGGCCTCAAATCTCTCCAAACATCCACTTGCAGATACTTCAAAAAGACTGTTTCAAAACTGCTCTCAAAAGGAAGGTTCAACTCTGTGAGTTGAATGCACACATCACAACGCAGTGTCTGAGAATGCTTCTGTCTAGTTTGTATGTGAAGATATTTCCTTTTCCATCTTAGGCCTCAAATCGATCCAAATATCCAATTGCAGATACCACAAAAAGACTGCTTCAAAACAGCTCTCGCAAAAGGAAGGTTCAACTCTGTGAGTTGAATGCACACATCACAGAGCAGTTTCTGAGAATGCTTCTGTCTAGTTTGTATGTGAAGATATCCCGTTTACAACAAATTCCTCAAAGAGCCCCCAATAGCAACAAGCCGATTCTACAAAAGCAGTGTTTCAAAACTGCTCTATCAAAAGCAACTTTCAACTCTGCGAATTGAACACACACATCACAAAGCAGTCTCTGAGAATGCTTCTGTCTGGTTTTTAGGTGAAGATATTCCTTTTTCCACCATAGGCAACAGAGCACTCCAAACGAACACATGAAGATTCTACAAAAAGTGTGTTCCAACACTGCTCTATCAAAAGAAAGTTTCAAGTCTGGGAGTCCAATGTACATGTCACAAAGAACGTTCTGTGAATGCTTGGGTCTACTTTTTATGTGAAGATAGCCGTTTCCAAAGAATTCTTCAAAGAGTTCCAGATATCCACAGGCAGATTCTACAAAAGAAGTGTTTCAATACTGCTCTATCAAAAGACGTATTCAACTCAGTTACTTTAATGCACACATCTCAATGAAGTTCCTGAGAAAGCTTCTGTCTAGTTTTTATGTGAAAATATTTCCTTTTCCATCATGGGCCTCAAAGCGCTCAAAATGAACACTTGCAGATACTAGAGAAAGACTGTTTCAAAACTGCTCTATCCAAAGAAAGGTTCCACTCTGTGAGGTGAATGCACACATCACAAAGCAGTTTCTCAGAACGCTTCTGTCTAGTTTGTATGTGAACATATTTCCTTTTCCATCATAGGCCTCAAATCGCTCCAAATATCCACTTGCAGATACTACAAAAAGACTGTTTCAAAACTGCTTTCTCAAAAGAAAGTTTCAACTCTGTGAGTTGAATGCACACATCACAAAGCAGTTTCTGAGAATGCTTCTGTGTAACTTGTATGTGAAGATCTCCCGTATACGCCCAATTCCTAAAAGACCGCCAAATATCCGCAAGCAGATTCTACAAAAGCAGTGTTTCAAATCTGCTCTATCAAAAGAAAGGTTCAACTTTGTGAATTGGACACAAACATCTCAAAGGAGTTTCTGAGAAGGCTTCTTTCTAGTTTCTAGGTGAACATATTCCTTTTTCCACCACAGGCAACAAAGCTCTCCAAATGAACACTTGCAGATTCTATAAAAAGTGTGTTTCAACACTGCTCTATCAAAATAAAGTTTCAAGTCTGTAAGTTTAATGCACACATCACAAAGCAGTTTCTGAGAATGCTTCTGTCTAGTTTGCAGGTGAAGGTATTTCCTTTTCCATCTTAGACCTCAAATCACTAAAAATATCCACTTGCAGATACTACAAAAAGACTGTTTCAAAACCTCTCTCTCAAAAGGAAGGTGCAACTCTGTGAGTTGAATGCACACATCACAAAGCAGTTTCTGAGAATGCTACTTTCTAGTATTTATGTGAAGATATTTCTTTATCCACCATAGGCACAACAGCGTTCCAAATGAACACTTGCAGATCGTACAAAATGTGTGTTTCAACACTGCTCTTTCAAAACAAGGGTTCAAGTCTGTGAGTTGAATGCAGACATCACCAAGCAGCTTCTGAGAGTGCTTCTGTCTAGATTGTATGTGAAGATATTTCCTATTCCATCTTAGGCCTCAAATCACTACAAACATCCAATTGAAGATACTTCAAAAAGATTGTTTCAAAACGGCTCTCTCAAAAGGAAGGTTCAACTCTGTGAGTTCAATTCACACATCACAAAGAAGTTTCTGAGAATGCTTCTGACTAGTGTGTATGTGAAGATATCCCTTTTACAAAGAATTCCTCCAAGAGCTACAAATATCCACAAGCAGATTCTACAAAACAGGTGGTTCAAAACTGCTCAATCAAAAGAAAGAGTCAACCCTGTGAATTGAACACACACATCACAAAGCAGTTTCTGAGAATGCTTCTGTCTAGTTTGTAAGTGAACATATTTCCTTTTCCATCATAGGCCTCAAATCGCTCCAAGTATCCACTTGCAGATACTACAAAAAGACTGTTTCAGAACTGCTTTCTCCAAAGAAAGTTTCAACTCTGTTAGTTGAATGCACACATCACAGAGCAGTTTGCTGAGAATGCTTCTGTGTAATTTGTATGTGAAGATATCCCGTATACGCCCAATTCCTCAAAGACCTCCAAATACACGCAAGCAGATTCTACAAAAGCAGTGTTTCAAATCTGCTCTATCAAAAGAAAGGTTCAACTTTGTGAATTGGACACAAACATCTCAAAGGAGTTTCTGAGAAGGCTTCTTTCTAGTTTGTATGTGAACACATTTCTTTTTCCACCACAGGCAACAAAGCTCTCCAAATGAACACTTGCAGATTCTATAAAAAGTGTGTTTCAACACTGCTCTATCAAAATAAGGTTTCAAGTCTGTAAGTTTAATGCACACATCACAAAGCAGTTTCTGAGAATGCTTCTGTCTAGTTTGTAGGTGAAGGTATTTCCTTTTCCATCTTAGACCTCAAATCACTAAAAATATCCACTTGTATATACTACAAAAAGACTGTTTCAAAACCTCTCTCTCAAAAGGAAGGCTCAACTCTGTGAGTTGAATGCACACATCACAAAGCAGTTTCTGAGTATGCTTCTGTCTAGCTTGTATGTGAAGATAGTTCCTTTTCCCTCATAGGTCCCAAATCGTTCCAAATATCGACTTGCAGATACCACAAAAAGACTGCTTCAAAACTGTTCTCAGAAGGAAGGTTCAACTCCGTGTGTTGAATGCACACATCAAAAAGCAGTTTCTGAGAATGCTTCTGTCTAGTTTGTATGTGAAGATATAACATTGACAGCGAATTCGTCAAAGAGCTTCAAATATCCAAAAGCAGATTCTAGAAAAGCAGTGTTTCAAAACTGCTCAATCAAAAGAAAGGTTCAACTCTGTGAACTGAACACATATATCACAAAGGAGTTTCGGAGAACGCTTCTTTCTAGTCTTTATGTGAAGATATTTCTTTTTCCACCATAGGCATCAAAGCGCTCCAAATGAACTCTTGCAGATTCTGCATATGTGTGTTTCAACACTGCTCCGTCTAAAGAAATGTTCAAGTCTCTGAGTTGAATGCACCCATCACAAAGCAGTTTCTGAGAATGCTTCTTTCTAGTTTGCATGTGAAGATATTCCCGTTTCCATCTTAAGCCTCACATCGCTCCATATATCCACTTGAGGATACTACAAAAAACTGTTTCAAAACTGCTCTCTCAAAAGGAAGGTTCAACTCTGTGAGCTGAATGCACACATCGCAAAGCAGTTAATGAGATTGCTTCTGTCTAGTTTGTATGTGAGGATATTTCCTTTTCAAACTTAGACTTCCCATCGCTCCAAATATCCACTTGCAGATATTTCAAAGAGACTGTTTAAAAACTGCTCTCTCAGAAGGAAGGTTCAACTCTGTGAGTTGAATGCACACACCACAAAGCAGTTTCTGAGAATGCTTCTGTCTAGTTTGTATGTGAAGATATCCCGTTTACAACGAATTCCTCAAAGAGCTCCAAATATCCACAAGCAGATTCTACAGAAGCAGTGTATCAAAACTGCTCTATCAAAAGAAAGGTTCAACTCTCTGAATAGAACAAACACATCACTAAGGCGTTTCTGAGAATGCTTCTGTCTAGTATTTATGTGAAGATATTTCTTTTTCCACCATAGGCAAAAAAGCGCTCCAAGTGAACACTTGCACATCCTACAAAATGTGTGTTTGAACACTGCTCTTTCAAAAGAAAGGTTGAAGTCTGTGATTGGAATGCACACATCACAAAGCAGTTTCTGAGAATGCTTCTGTCTACTTTGTATGTGAAGATATCCCGTTTACAACAAATTCCTCAAAGAGCTCCAGATATCCACAAGCAGATCCTATAAAAGCGGTGTTTCAAAGCTGCGCTATCAAAGGAATATTTCAATTCTGTGAATTTGACACACACTTCACAAAGGAGTTTCTGAGAATGTTTCTGTCTAGTTTTCATTTGAAGATATTTCTTTTTCCACCATAGGCAACAAAGCGCACTAAATGAACACTTGCAGATTCTACAAAAAGCGTGTTCCAACACTGATCTCTCAAAAGAAAGTTTGAAGTCTTTGAGTTTAAGGCACACATCTCAAGGAACTTTTTGAGAATCCTTGGGTCTCCTTTTTTTGTGAAGATACCAGCTGCCAACGAACTCCTGAAAGAGTTCCAAATATCCACAAGCAGATTCTACAAAAGGAGTGTTTCAATTCTGCTCTATCAAAAGGCAGATTCAACTCAGTTACTTGAATGCACACATCTCAGTGAAGTTCCTGAGCATGCCTCTGTCTAGTTTTTTTGTGAAGATATTTCCTTTTCCGCCAAAGGCTTAAAAGCGCTCCAAAATGAACACTCGCAGATCCTACAAAAAGACTGTTTCAGAACTGCTCTATCAAAAGGACGGTTCCACTCTGTGAGGTAAATGCACACATCACAAAGCAGATTCTGAGAAAGCTTCTGTCAAGTTTGGCCGTGAAGATATTTCCTTTTCAATCTTAGTCCTCCCATTGCTCCAAGTATCCACTTGTAGAGAATACAAAAAGATTGTTTCAAAACTGCTCTCTCAAAAGGAAGGTTCAACTCTGTGAGTAGAATGCACACATCACAAACCAGTTTCTGAGAATGCTTCTGACTAGTTTGAATGTGAAGATATCCCGTTTAAAACGAATTCCTCAAACAGCTCCAAATATCCACAAGAAGATTCTACAAAAGCAGTGTTTCAAAACTGCTTTATCTAAAGAAAGGTTCAACCCTGTGAATTGAACAACCACATCACAAAGTATTTTCTGAGAATGTTTCTGTCTAGTTTTTACGTGAAGATATTTCTTTTTCCACCATGGGCAAGAAAGCACTCCAAATGAACACTTGCAGATTCTACAAAAAGTGTGTTTGAACCCTGCTGTATCAAAAGAAAGTTTCAAGCCTGTGAGTTGAATCCCCACATCACAAAGCAGTTTCTGAGAATGCTTCTGCCTAGTTTTTAGGTGAAGATATATCCTTTTCCATCTTAGGCCTCAAATCTCTCCAAACATCCACTTGCAGATACTTCAAAAAGACTGTTTCAAAACTGCTCTCAAAAGGAAGGTTCAACTCTGTGAGTTGAATGCACACATCACAACGCAGTGTCTGAGAATGCTTCTGTCTAGTTTGTATGTGAAGATATTTCCTTTTCCATCTTAGGCCTCAAATCGATCCAAATATCCAATTGCAGATACCACAAAAAGACTGCTTCAAAACAGCTCTCGCAAAAGGAAGGTTCAACTCTGTGAGTTGAATGCACACATCACAGAGCAGTTTCTGAGAATGCTTCTGTCTACTTTGTATGTGAAGATATCCCGTTTACAACAAATTCCTCAAAGAGCCCCCAATAGCAACAAGCAGATTCTACAAAAGCAGTGTTTCAAAACTGCTCTATCCAAAGCAACTTTCAACTCTGCGAATTGAACACACACATCACAAAGCAGTCTCTGAGAATGCTTCTGTCTGGTTTTTAGGTGAAGATATTCCTTTTTCCACCATAGGCAACAGAGCACTCCAAACGAACACATGAAGATTCTACAAAAAGTGTGTTCCAACACTGCTCTATCAAAAGAAAGTTTCAAGTCTGGGAGTCCAATGTACATGTCACAAAGAACGTTCTGTGAATGCTTGGGTCTACTTTTTATGTGAAGATAGCCGTTTCCAAAGAATTCTTCAAAGAGTTCCAGATATCCACAGGCAGATTCTACAAAAGAAGTGTTTCAATACTGCTCTATCAAAAGACGTATTCAACTCAGTTACTTTAATGCACACATCTCAATGAAGTTCCTGAGAAAGCTTCTGTCTAGTTTTAATGTGAAAATATTTCCTTTTCCATCATGGGCCTCAAAGCGCTCAAAATGAACACTTGCAGATACTAGAGAAAGACTGTTTCAAAACTGCTCTATCCAAAGAAAGGTTCCACTCTGTGAGGTGAATGCACACATCACAAAGCAGTTTCTCAGAACGCTTCTGTCTAGTTTGTATGTGAACATATTTCCTTTTCCATCATAGGCCTCAAATCGCTCCAAATATCCACTTGCAGATACTACAAAAAGACTGTTTCAAAACTGCTTTCTCAAAAGAAAGTTTCAACTGCTGTGAGTTGAATGCACACATCACAAAGCAGTTTCTGAGAATGCTTCTGTCTAGTTTCTATGTGAAGATATCCCATTTACAGCGAATTCCTGAAAGAACTCCAAATATTCAAAAGCAGATTCTACAAAAGCAGTGCTTCAAAACTGCTCTATCAAAAGAAAGTTTCAACTCTGTGAATTGAAAGCACACACCACAAAGGAGTTTCTGAGAATGCTTCTGTCTAGTTTTTACGTGAAGATATTTCTTTTTCCACCATGGGCAAGGAAAGCACTCCAAATGAACACTTGCAGATTCTACAAAAAGTGTGTTTCAACCCTGCTCTATCAAAAGAAAGTTTCAAGCCTGTGAGTCGAATCCTCACATCACAAAGCAGTTTCTGAGAATGCTTCTGTCTAGTTTGTATGTGAACATATTTCCTTTTCCATCATAGGCCTCAAATCGCTGCAAATATCCACTTGCAGATACTACAAAAAGACTGTTTCAAAACTGCTTTCTCAAAAGAAAGTTTCAACTCTGTGAGTTGAATGCGCACATCACAAAGCAGTTTCTGAGAATGCTTCTGTGTAACTTGTAGGTGAAGATCTCCCGTATACGCCCAATTCCTCAAAGACCGCCAAATATCCGCAAGCAGATTCTACAAAAGCAGTGTTTCAAATCTGCTCTATCAAAAGAAAGGTTCAACTTTGTGAATTGGACACAAACATCTCAAAGGAGTTTCTGAGAAGGCTTCTTTCTAGTTTCTAGGTGAACATATTCCTTTTTCCACCACAGGCAACAAAGCTCTCCAAATGAACACTTGCAGATTCTATAAAAAGTGTGTTTCAACACTGCTCTATCAAAATAAAGTTTCAAGTCTGTAAGTTTAATGCACACATCACAAAGCAGTTTCTGAGAATGCTTCTGTCTAGTTTGTAGGTGAAGGTATTTCCTTTTCCATCTTAGACCTCAAATCACTAAAAATATCCACTTGCAGATACTACAAAAAGACTGTTTCAAAACCTCTCTCTCAAAAGGAAGGTGCAACTCTGTGAGTTGAATGCACACATCACAAAGCAGTTTCTGAGAATGCTACTTTCTAGTATTTATGTGAAGATATTTCTTTATCCACCATAGGCACAACAGCGTTCCAAATGAACACTTGCAGATCGTACAAAATGTGTGTTTCAACACTGCTCTTTCAAAACAAGGGTTCAAGTCTGTGAGTTGAATGCAGACATCACCAAGCAGCTTCTGAGAGTGCTTCTGTCTAGATTGTATGTGAAGATATTTCCTATTCCATCTTAGGCCTCAAATCACTACAAACATCCAATTGAAGATACTTCAAAAAGATTGTTTCAAAACGGCTCTCTCAAAAGGAAGGTTCAACTCTGTGAGTTCAATTCACACATCACAAAGAAGTTTCTGAGAATGCTTCTGACTAGTGTGTATGTGAAGATATCCCTTTTACAAAGAATTCCTCCAAGAGCTACAAATATCCACAAGCAGATTCTACAAAACAGGTGGTTCAAAACTGCTCAATCAAAAGAAAGAGTCAACCCTGTGAATTGAACACACACATCACAAAGCAGTTTCTGAGAATGCTTCTGTCTAGTTTGTAAGTGATCATATTTCCTTTTCCATCATAGGCCTCAAATCGCTCCAAATATCCACTTGCAGATACTACAAAAAGACTGTTTCAGAACAGCTTTCTCAAAAGAAAGTTTCAACTCTGTGAGAGGAATGCACACATCACAGAGCAGTTTCTGAGAATGCTTCTGTGTAATTTGTATGTGAAGATATCCCGTATACGCCCAATTCCTCAAAGACCTCCAAATACATGCAAGCAGATTCTACAAAAGCAGTGTTTCAAATCTGCTCTATCAAAAGAAAGGTTCAACTTTGTGAATTGGACACAAACATCTCAAAGGAGTTTCTGAGAAGGCTTCTTTCTAGTTTGTATGTGAACACATTTCTTTTTCCACCACAGGCAACAAAGCTCTCCAAATGAAGACTTGCAGATTCTATAAAAAGTGTGTTTCAACACTGCTCTATCAAAATAAGGTTTCAAGTCTGTAAGTTTAATGCACACATCACAAAGCAGTTTCTGAGAATGCTTCTGTCTAGTTTGTAGGTGAAGGTATTTCCTTTTCCATCTTAGACCTCAAATCACCAAAAATATCCACCTGTACATACTACAAAAAGACTGTTTCAAAACGTCTCTCTCAAAAGGAAGGTTCAACTCTGTGAGTTGAATGCACACATCACACAGCAGTTTCTGAGCATGCTTCTGTCTAGTTTGTATGTGAAGATAGTTCCTTTTCCCTCATAGGCCTCAAATCGTTCCAAATATCGACTTGCAGATACTACAAAAAGACTGTTTGAAAACCGTTCTCTCAGAAGGAAGGTTCAACTCCGTGTGTTGAATGCACACATCACAAAGCAGTTTCTGAGAATGCTTCTGTCTAGCTTGTACGTGAAGATAGTTCCTTTTCCCTCATAGGTCCCAAATCGTTCCAAATATCGACTTGCAGATACCACAAAAAGACTGCTTCAAAACTGTTCTCAGAAGGAAGGTTCAACTCCGTGTGTTGAATGCACACATCAAAAAGCAGTTTCTGAGAATGCTTCTGTCTAGTTTGTATGTGAAGATATAACATTGACAGCGAATTCGTTCAAAGAGCTTCAAATATCCAAAAGCAGATTCTAGAAAAGCAGTGTTTCAAAACTGCTCAATCAAAAGAAAGGTTCAACTCTGTGAACTGAACACATATATCACAAAGGAGTTTCGGAGAACGCTTCTTTCTAGTCTTTATGTGAAGATATTTCTTTTTCCACCATAGGCATCAAAGCGCTCCAAATGAACTCTTGCAGATTCTGCATATGTGTGTTTCAACACTGCTCCGTCTAAAGAAATGTTCAAGTCTCTGAGTTGAATGCACCCATCACAAAGCAGTTTCTGAGAATGCTTCTTTCTAGTTTGCATGTGAAGATATTCCCGTTTCCATCTTAAGCCTCACATCGCTCCATATATCCACTTGAGGATACTACAAAAAACTGTTTCAAAACTGCTCTCTCAAAAGGAAGGTTCAACTCTGTGAGCTGAATGCACACATCGCAAAGCAGTTAATGAGATTGCTTCTGTCTAGTTTGTATGTGAGGATATTTCCTTTTCAATCTTAGACTTCCCATCGCTCCAAATATCCACTTGCAGATATTTCAAAGAGACTGTTTAAAAACTGCTATCTCAGAAGGAAGGTTCACCTCTGTGAGTTGAATGCACACACCACAAAGCAGTTTCTGAGAATGGCTTCTGTCTAGTTTGTATGTGAAGATATCCCGTTTACAACGAATTCCTCAAAGAGCTCCAAATATCCACAAGCAGATTCTACAGAAGCAGTGTATCAAAACTGCTCTATCAAAAGAAAGGTTCAACTCTCTGAATAGAACAAACACATCACTAAGGCGTTTCTGAGAATGCTTCTGTCTAGTATTTATGTGAAGATATTTCTTTTTCCACCATAGGCAAAAAAGCGCTCCAAGTGAACACTTGCACATCCTACAAAATGTGTGTTTGAACACTGCTCTTTCAAAAGAAAGGTTGAAGTCTGTGATTGGAATGCACACATCACAAAGCAGTTTCTGAGAATGCTTCTGTCTACTTTGTATGTGAAGATATCCCGTTTACAACAAATTCCTCAAAGAGCTCCAGATATCCACAAGCAGATCCTATAAAAGCGGTGTTTCAAAGCTGCGCTATCAAAGGAATATTTCAATTCTGTGAATTTGACACACACTTCACAAAGGAGTTTCTGAGAATGTTTCTGTCTAGTTTTCATTTGAAGATATTTCTTTTTCCACCATAGGCAACAAAGCGCACTAAATGAACACTTGCAGATTCTACAAAAAGCGTGTTCCAACACTGATCTCTCAAAAGAAAGTTTGAAGTCTGTGAGTTTAAGGCACACATCTCAAGGAACTTTTTGAGAATCCTTGGGTCTCCTTTTTTTGTGAAGATACCAGTTGCCAACGAACTCCTGAAAGAGTTCCAAATATCCACAAGCAGATTCTACAAAAGGAGTGTTTCAATTCTGCTCTATCAAAAGGCAGATTCAACTCAGTTACTTGAATGCACACATCTCAGTGAAGTTCCTGAGCATGCCTCTGTCTAGTTTTTTTGTGAAGATATTTCCTTTTCCGCCAAAGGCTTAAAAGCACTCCAAAATGAACACTCGCAGATCCTACAAAAAGACTGTTTCAGAACTGCTCTATCAAAAGGACGGTTCCACTCTGTGAGGTAAATGCACACATCACAAAGCAGATTCTGAGAAAGCTTCTGTCAAGTTTGGCCGTGAAGATATTTCCTTTTCAATCTTAGTCCTCCCATTGCTCCAAGTATCCACTTGTAGAGAATACAAAAAGATTGTTTCAAAACTGCTCTCTCAAAAGGAAGGTTCAACTCTGTGAGTAGAATGCACACATCACAAACCAGTTTCTGAGAATGCTTCTGACTAGTTTGAATGTGAAGATATCCCGTTTAAAACGAATTCCTCAAACAGCTCCAAATATCCACAAGAAGATTCTACAAAAGCAGTGTTTCAAAACTGCTTTATCTAAAGAAAGGTTCAACCCTGTGAATTGAACAACCACATCACAAAGTATTTTCTGAGAATGTTTCTGTCTAGTTTTTACGTGAAGATATTTCTTTTTCCACCATGGGCAAGAAAGCACTCCAAATGAACACTTGCAGATTCTACAAAAAGTGTGTTTGAACCCTGCTCTATCAAAAGAAAGTTTCAAGCCTGTGAGTTGAATCCCCACATCACAAAGCAGTTTCTGAGAATGCTTCTGCCTAGTTTTTAGGTGAAGATATATCCTTTTCCATCTTAGGCCTCAAATCTCTCCAAACATCCACTTGCAGATACTTCAAAAAGACTGTTTCAAAACTGCTCTCAAAAGGAAGGTTCAACTCTGTGAGTTGAATGCACACATCACAACGCAGTGTCTGAGAATGCTTCTGTCTAGTTTGTATGTGAAGATATTTCCTTTTCCATCTTAGGCCTCAAATCGATCCAAATATCCAATTGCAGATACCACAAAAAGACTGCTTCAAAACAGCTCTCGCAAAAGGAAGGTTCAACTCTGTGAGTTGAATGCACACATCACAGAGCAGTTTCTGAGAATGCCTCTGTCTACTTTGTATGTGAAGATATCCCGTTTACAACAAATTCCTCAAAGAGCCCCCAATAGCAACAAGCAGATTCTACAAAAGCAGTGTTTCAAAACTGCTCTATCAAAAGCAACTTTCAACTCTGCGAATTGAACACACACATCACAAAGCAGTCTCTGAGAATGCTTCTGTCTGGTTTTTAGGTGAAGATATTCCTTTTTCCACCATAGGCAACAAAGCACTCCAAACACACACATGAAGATTCTACAAAAAGTGTGTTCCAACACTGCTGTATCAAAAGAAAGGTTCAAGTCTGGGAGTCCAATGTACATATCACAAAGAACTTTCTGAGAATGCTTGGGTCTACTTTTTATGTGAAGATAGCCGTTTCCAAAGAATTCTTCAAAGAGTTCCAGATATCCACAGGCAGATTCTACAAAAGAAGTGTTTCAATACTGCTCTATCAAAAGACGTATTCCACTCAGTTACTTTAATGCACACATCTCAATGAAGTTCCTGAGAAAGCTTCTGTCTAGTTTTTATGTGAAAATATTTCCTTTTCCATCATGGGCCTCAAAGCGCTCAAAATGAACACTTGCAGATACTAGAGAAAGACTGTTTCAAAACTGCTCTATCCAAAGAACGGTTCCACTCTGTGAGGTGAATGCACACATCACAAAGCAGTTTCTGAGAACTCTTCTGTCTAGTTTGTATGTGAACATATTTCCTTTTCCATCATAGGCCTCAAATCGCTCCAAATATCCACTTGCAGATACTATAAAAAGACTGTTTCAAAACTGCTTTCTCAAAAGAAAGTTTCAACTCTGTGAGTTGAATGCGCACATCACAAAGCAGTTTCTGAGAATGCTTCTGTGTAACTTGTAGGTGAAGATCTCCCGCATACGCCCCATTCCTCAAAGACCTCCAAATATCCGCAAGCAGAGTCTACAAAAGCAGTGTTTCAAATCTGCTCTATCAAAAGAAAGGTTCAACTTTGTGAATTGGACACAAACATCGAAAAGGAGTTTCTGAGAATGCTTCTTTCTAGTTTCTATGTGAACATATTCCTTTTTCCACCACAGGCAACAAAGCTCTCCAAATGAACACTTGCAGATTCTATAAAAAGTGTGTTTCAACACTGCTCTATCAAAATAAAGTTTCAAGTGTGTAAGTTTAATGCACACATCACAAAGCAGTTTCTGAGAATGCTTCTGTCTAGTTTGTAGGTGAAGGTATTTCCTTTTCCATCTTAGACCTCAAATCACTAAAAATATCCACTTGCAGATACTACAAAAAGACTGTTTCAAAACCTCTCTCTCAAAAGGAAGGTTCAACTCTGTGAGTTGAATGCACACATCACAAAGCAGTTTCTGAGAATGCTACTTTCTAGTATTTATGTGAAGATATTTCTTTATCCACCATAGGCACAACAGCGTTCCAAATGAACACTTGCAGATCGTACAAAATGTGTGTTTCAACACTGCTCTTTCAAAACAAGGGTTCAAGTCTGTGAGTTGAATGCAGACATCACCAAGCAGCTTCTGAGAGTGCTTCTGTCTAGATTGTATGTGAAGATATTTCCTCTTCCATCTTAGGCCTCAAATCACTACAAACATCCAATTGAAGATACTTCAAAAAGATTGTTTCAAAACGGCTCTCTCAAAAGGAAGGTTCAACTCTGTGAGTTCAATTCACACATCACAAAGAAGTTTCTGAGAATGCTTCTGACTAGTGTGTATGTGAAGATATCCCTTTTACAAAGAATTCCTCCAAGAGCTACAAATATCCACAAGCAGATTCTACAAAACAGGTGGTTCAAAACTGCTCAATCAAAAGAAAGAGTCAACCCTGTGAATTGAACACACACATCACAAAGCAGTTTCTGAGAATGCTTCTGTCTAGTTTGTAAGTAAACATATTTCCTTTTCCATCATAGGCCTCAAATCGCTCCAAATATCCACTTGCAGATACCAAAAAAAGACTGTTTCAGAACAGCTTTCTCAAAAGAAAGTTTCAACTCTGTGAGAGGAATGCACACATCACAGAGCAGTTTCTGAGAATGCTTCTGTGTAATTTGTATGTGAAGATATCCCGTATACGCCCAATTCCTCAAAGACCTCCAAATATCCACAAGCACATTCTACAAAAGCAGTGTTTCAAATCTGCTGTATCAAAAGAAAGGTTCAACTTTGTAAATTGGACACAAACATCTCAAAGGAGTTTCTGAAAAGGCTTCTTTCTAGTTTGTATGTGAACACATTTCTTTTTCCACCACAGGCAACAAAGCTCTCCAAATGAACACTTGCAGATTCCATAAAAAGTGTGTTTCAACACTGATCTATCAAAATAAGGTTTCAAGTCTGTAAGTTTAATGCACACATCACAAAGCAGTTTCTGAGAATGCTTCTGTCTAGTTTGTAGGTGAAGGTATTTCCTTTTCCATCTTAGACCTCAAATCACCAAAAATATCCACCTGTACATACTACAAAAAGACTGTTTCAAAACGTCTCTCTCAAAAGGAAGGTTCAACTCTGTGAGTTGAATGCACACATCACACAGCAGTTTCTGAGCATGCTTCTTTCTAGTTTGTATGTGAAGATAGTTCCTTTTCCCTCATAGGCCTCAAATCGTTCCAAATATCGACTTGCAGATACTACAAAAAGACTGTTTGAAAACCGTTCCCTCAGAAGGAAGGTTCAACTCCGTGTGTTGAATGCACACATCACAAAGCAGTTTCTGAGAATGCTTCTGTCTAGCTTGTATGTGAAGATAGTTCCTTTTCCCTCATAGGTCCCAAATCGTTCCAAATATCGACTTGCAGATGCCACAAAAAGACTGCTTCAAAACTGTTCTCAGAAGGAAGGTTCAACTCCGTGTGTTGAATGCACACATCAAAAAGCAGTTTCTGAGAATGCTTCTGTCTAGTTTGTATGTGAAGATATAACATTGACAGTGAATTCGTCAAAGAGCTTCAAATATCCAAAAGCAGATTCTAGAAAAGCAGTGTTTCAAAACTGCTCAATCAAAAGAAAGGTTCAACTCTGTGAACTGAACACATATATCACAAAGGAGTTTCGGAGAACGCTTACTCTCTCTAGTTTGTATGTGAAGATATCCCATTGACAGCGAATTCCTCAAAGAGCTCCAAATATCCACAAGCAGATTCTAGAGAAGCAGTGTTTCAAAACTGCTCAATCAAAAGAAAGGTTCAACTCTGTGAACTGAACACACATATCACAAAGGAGTTTCGGAGAACGCTTCTTTCTAGTCTTTATGTGAAGATATTTCTTTTTCCACCATAGGCATCAAAGCGCTCCAAATGAACTCTTGCAGATTCTACAAATGTGTGTTTCAACACTGCTCCGTCAAAAGAAATGTTCAAGTCTCTGAGTTGAATGCGCACATCACAAAGCAGTTTCTGAGAATGTTTCTTTCTAGTTTGCATGTGAAGATATTCCCGTTTCCATCTTAAGCCTCACATCGCTCCATATATCCACTTGAGGATACTACAAAAAACTGTTTCAAAACTGCTCTCTCAAAAGGAAGGTTCAACTCTGTGAGCTGAATGCACACATCGCAAAGCAGTTAATGAGATTGCTTCTGTCTAGTTTGTATGTGAGGATATTTCCTTTTCAAACTTAGACTTCCCATCGCTCCAAATATCCACTTGCAGATATTTCAAAGAGACTGTTTAAAAACTGCTCTCTCAGAAGGAAGGTTCAACTCTGTGAGTTGAATGCACACACCACAAAGCAGTTTCTGAGAATGCTCTGTCTAGTTTGTATGTGAAGATATCCCGTTTACAACGAATTCCTCAAAGAGCTCCAAATATCCACAAGCAGATTCTACAGAAGCAGTGTATCAAAACTGCTCTATCAAAAGAAAGGTTCAACTCTCTGAATAGAACAAACACATCACTAAGGCGTTTCTGAGAATGCTTTCTGTCTAGTATTTATGTGAAGATATTTCTTTTTCCCCATAGGCAAAAAAGAGCTCCAAGTGAACACTTGCACATGCTACAAAATGTGTGTTTCAACACTGCTCTTTCAAAAGAAAGGTTGAAGTCTGTGATTGGAATGCACACATCACAAAGCAGTTTCTGAGAATGCTTCTGTCTACTTTGTATGTGAAGATATCCCGTTTACAACAAATTCCTCAAAGAGCTCCAGATATCCACAAGCAGATCCTATAAAAGCGGTGTTTCAAAGCTGCGCTATCAAAGGAATATTTCAATTCTGTGAATTTGACACACACTTCACAAAGGAGTTTCTGAGAATGTTTCTGTCTAGTTTTCATTTGAAGATATTTCTTTTTCCACCGTAGGCAACAAAGCGCACTAAATGAACACTTGCAGATTCTACAAAAAGCGTGTTCCAACCCTGATCTCTCAAAAGAAAGTTTGAAGTCTGTGAGTTTAAGGCACACATCTCAAAGAACATTTTGAGAATGCTTGGGTCTCCTTTTTTTGTGAAGATACCAGCTGCCAACGAACTCCTGAAAGAGTTCCAAATATCCACAAGCAGATTCTACAAAAGGAGTGTTTCAATTCTGCTCTATCAAAAGGCAGATTCAACTCAGTTACTTGAATGCACACATCTCAGTGAAGTTCCTGAGCATGCCTCTGTCTAGTTTTTTTGTGAAGATATTTCCTTTTCCGCCAAAGGCTTAAAAGCACTCCAAAATGAACACTCGCAGATCCTACAAAAAGACTGTTTCAGAACTGCTCTATCAAAAGGACGGTTCCACTCTGTGAGGTAAATGCACACATCACAAAGCAGATTCTGAGAAAGCTTCTGTCAAGTTTGGCCGTGAAGATATTTCCTTTTCAATCTTAGTCCTCCCATTGCTCCAAGTATCCACTTGTAGAGAATACAAAAAGATTGTTTCAAAACTGCTCTCTCAAAAGGAAGGTTCAACTCTGTGAGTAGAATGCACACATCACAAACCAGTTTCTGAGAATGCTTCTGACTAGTTTGAATGTGAAGATATCCCGTTTAAAACGAATTCCTCAAACAGCTCCAAATATCCACAAGAAGATTCTACAAAAGCAGTGTTTCAAAACTGCTTTATCTAAAGAAAGGTTCAACCCTGTGAATTGAACAACCACATCACAAAGTATTTTCTGAGAATGTTTCTCTCTAGTTTTTAGGTGAAGATATTTCTTTTTCCACCATGGGGAAGAAAGCACTCCAAATGAACACTTGCAGATTCTACAAAAAGTGTGTTTCAACACTGCTCTATCAAAAGAAAGTTTCAAGTCTGTGGGTTGAATCCCCACATCACAAAGCAGTTTCTGAGAATGCTTCTGCCTAGTTTTTAGGTGAAGATATATCCTTTTCCATCTTAGGCCTCAAATCTCTCCAAACATCCACTTGCAGATACTTCAAAAAGACTGTTTCAAAACTGCTCTCAAAAGGAAGGTTCAACTCTGTGAGTTGAATGCACACATCACAACGCAGTGTCTGAGAATGCTTCTGTCTAGTTTGTATGTGAAGATATTTCCTTTTCCATCTTAGGCCTCAAATCGATCCAAATATCCAATTGCAGATACCACAAAAAGACTGCTTCAAAACAGCTCTCGCAAAAGGAAGGTTCAACTCTGTGAGTTGAATGCACACATCACAGAGCAGTTTCTGAGAATGCTTCTGCCTACTTTGTATGTGAAGATATCCCGTTTACAACAAATTCCTCAAAGAGCCCCCAATAGCAACAAGCAGATTCTACAAAAGCAGTGTTTCAAAACTGCTCTATCAAAAGCAACTTTCAACTCTGCGAATTGAACACACACATCACAAAGCAGTCTCTGAGAATGCTTCTGTCTTGTTTTTAGGTGAAGATATTCCTTTTTCTACCATAGGCAACAAAGCACTCCAGACGAACACATGAAGATTCTACAAAAAGTGTGTTCCAGCACTGCTCTATCAAAAGAAAAGGTTCAAGTCTGGGAGTCCAATGTACATATCACAAAGAACTTTCTGAGAATGCTTGGGTCTAGTTTTTATGTGAAGATAGCGTTTCCAAAGAATTCTTCAAAGAGTTCCAGATATCCACAGGCAGATTATACAAAAGAAGTGTTTCAATACTGCTCTATCAAAAGACGTATTCAAATCAGTTACCTTAATGCACACATCTCAATGAAATTCCTGAGAAAGCTTCTGTCTAGGTTTATGTGAAAATATTAACTTTTCCATCATGGGCCTCAAAGCGCTCAAAATGAACACTTGCAGATACTAGAGAAAGACTGTTTCAAAACTGCTCTATCCAAAGAACGGTTCCACTCTGTGAGGTGAATGCACACATCACAAAGCAGTTTCTGAGAACGCTTGTGTCTAGTTTGTATGTGAACATATTTCCTTTTCCATCATAGGCCTCAAATCGCTCCAAATATCCACTTGCAGATACTACAAGAAGACTGTTTCAAAACTGCATTCTCAAAAGAAAGTTTCAACTCTGTGAGTTGAATGCACACATCACCAAGCAGTTTCTGAGAATGCTTCTGTCTAGTTTGTAGGTGAAGGTATTTCCTTTTCCATCTTACACCTCAAATCACTAAAAATATCCACTTGCAGATACTACAAAAAGACTGTTTCAAAATCTCTCTCTCAAAAGGAAGGTTCAACTCTGTGAGTTGAATGCACACATCACAAAGCAGTTTCTGAGAATGCTTCTGTCTAGTATTTATGTGAAGATATTGCTTTTTCCACCATAGGCACAAAAGCTCTCCAAATGAACACTTGCAGATCCTACAAAATGTGTGTTTCAACACTGCTCTTTCAAAACAAGGGTTAAAGTCTGTGAGTTGAATGCAGACATCACCAAGCAGCTTCTGAGAGTGCTTCTGTCTAGATTGTATGTGAAGATATTTCCTTTTCCATCTTAGGCCTCAAATCACTACAAGTATCCAATTGAAGATACTTCAAAAAGATTGTTTCAAAACGGCTCTCTCAGAAGGAAGGATCAACTCTGTGAGTTCAATTCACAATCACAAAGAAGTTTCTGAGAATGCTTCTGACTTGTGTGTATGTGAAGATATCCCTTTTACAATGAATTCTTCCAAGAGCTACAAATATCCACAAGCAGATTCTACAAAACAGGTTGTTCAAAACTGCTCAATCAAAAGAAAGAGTCAACCCTGTGAATTGAACACACACATCACAAAGCAGTTTCTGAGCATGCTTCTGTCTAGTTTGTATGTGAAGATAGTTCCTTTTCCCTCATAGGCCTCATAGCGTTCCAAATAGCGACTTGCAGATACTACAAAAAGACTGTTTGAAAACTGTTCTCTCAGAAGGAAGGTTCAACTCCGTGTGTTGAATGCACACATCACAAAGCAGTTTCTGAGAATGCTTCTGGCTAGTTTGTATGTGAAGATATCCCATTGACAGCGAATTCCTCAAAGAGCTCCAAATATCCACAAGCAGATTCTAGAAAAGCAGTGTTTCAAAACTGCTCAATCAAAAGAAAGGTTCATCTCTGTGCATTGAACACACATATCACAAAGGAGTTTCGGAGAACACTTCTTTCTAGTCTTTATGTGAAGATACTTCTTTTTCCACCATAGGCATCAAAGCGCTCCAAATGAACACTTGCAGATTCTACAAATGTGTGTTTCAACACTGCTCCGTCTAAAGAAATGTTCAAGTCTCTGTGTTGAATGCACCCATCACAAAGGAGTTTCTGAGAATGCTTCTATCTAGTTTCTATGTGAAGATATTCCCGTTTCCATGTTAAGCCTCACATCGCTCCATATATCCACTTGAGGATACTACAAAAAACTGTTTCAAAACTGCTCTCTCAAAAGGAAGGTTCAACTCTGTGAGCTGAATGCACACATCACAAAGCAGTAAATGAGATTGCTTCTGTCTAGTTTGTATGTGAAGATATTTCTTTATCCACCATAGGCAAAAAAACGCTCCAAGTGAACACTTGCACATCCTACAAAATGTGTGTTTCAACACTGCTCTTTCAAGAGAAAGGTTCAAGTCTGTGAGTTGAATGCACACATCACTAAGCAGTTTCTGAGAATGCTGCTGTCTAGTTTGTATGCGAAGATATCCCGTTTACAACGAATTCCTCAAAGAGCTCCAAATATCCACAAGCAGATTCTACAGAAGCAGTGTATCAAAACTGCTCTATCAAAAGAAAGGTTCAACTCTCTGAATAGAACAAACACATCAAAAAGGAGTTTCTGAGAATGCTTCTGTCTAGTATTTATGTGAAGATATTTCTTTTTCCACCATAGGCAAAAAAACGCTCCAAGTGAACACTTGCACATCCTACAAAATGTTTGTTTCAACACTGCTCTTTCAAGAGAAAGGTTCAAGTCTGTGAGTTGAATGCACACATCACTAAGCAGTTTCTGTGAATGCTTCTGTCTAGTTTGTATGTGAAGATATCCCGTTTACAACGAAATACTCAAAGAGCTCCAAATATCCACAAGCAGATCCTATAAATGCGGTGTTTCAAAACTGCTCTATCATAAGAAAATTTCAATTCTGTGAATTTGACACACACTTCACAAAGGAGTTTCTGAGAATGTTTCTGTCTAGTTTTCATTTGAAGATATTTCTTTTTCCACTATAGGCAACAAAGCGCACTAAATGAACCCTTGCAGATTCTACAAAAAGCGTGTTCCAACACTGATCTCTCAAAAGAATGTTTGAAGTCTGTGAGTTGAAGGCACACATCTCAAAGAACTTTTTGAGAATGCTTGGGTCTCCTTTTTTTGGGAAGATACCAACTACCAACGAATTCCTGAAAGAGTTCCAAATATCCACAAGTAGATTCTACAAAAGGATTGTTTCAATTCTGCTCTATCAAAAGGCAGATTCAACTCAGTTACTTGAATGCACACATCTCAATGAAGTTCCTGAGCATGCCTCTGTCTAGTTTTCTGTGAAGATATTTCCTTTTCCGCCAAAGGCTTAAAAGCTCTCCAAAATGAACACTCGCAGATCCTACAAAAAGACTGTTTCAGAACTGCTCTATCAAAAGGACGGTTCCACTCTGTGAGGTGAATGCACACATCACAAAGCAGATTCTGAGAAAGCTTCTGTCAAGTTTGGCCGTGAAGATATTTCCTTTTCCATCTTAGGCCTCAAATCACTACAAACATCCAATTGAAGATACTTCAAAAAGATTGTTTCAAAACGGCTCTCTCAAAAGGAAGATTCAACTCTGTGAATTCAATTCACACATCACAAAGAAGTTTCTGAGAAAGCTTCTGACTAGTTTGAATGTGAAGATATCCCGTTTAAAACGAATTCCTCAAACAGCTCCAAATATCCACAAGAAGATTCTACAAAAGCAGTGTTTCAAAACTGCTTTATCTAAAGAAAGGTTCAACCCTGTGAATTGAACAACCACATCACAAAGTATTTTCTGAGAATGTTTCTGTCTAGTTTTTACGTGAAGATATTTCTTTTTCCACCATGGGCAAGAAAGCACTCCAAATGAACACTTGCAGATTCTACAAAAAGTGTGTTTGAACCCTGCTCTATCAAAAGAAAGTTTCAAGCCTGTGAGTTGAATCCCCACATCACAAAGCAGTTTCTGAGAATGCTTCTGCCTAGTTTTTAGGTGAAGATATATCCTTTTCCATCTTAGGCCTCAAATCTCTCCAAACATCCACTTGCAGATACTTCAAAAAGACTGTTTCAAAACTGCTCTCAAAAGGAAGGTTCAACTCTGTGAGTTGAATGCACACATCACAACGCAGTGTCTGAGAATGCTTCTGTCTAGTTTGTATGTGAAGATATTTCCTTTTCCATCTTAGGCCTCAAATCGATCCAAATATCCAATTGCAGATACCACAAAAAGACTGCTTCAAAACAGCTCTCGCAAAAGGAAGGTTCAACTCTGTGAGTTGAATGCACACATCACAGAGCAGTTTCTGAGAATGCTTCTGTCTACTTTGTATGTGAAGATATCCCGTTTACAACAAATTCCTCAAAGAGCCCCCAATAGCAACAAGCAGATTCTACAAAAGCAGTGTTTCAAAACTGCTCTATCAAAAGCAACTTTCAACTCTGCGAATTGAACACACACATCACAAAGCAGTCTCTGAGAATGCTTCTGTCTGGTTTTTAGGTGAAGATATTCCTTTTTCCACCATAGGCAACAGAGCACTCCAAACGAACACATGAAGATTCTACAAAAAGTGTGTTCCAACACTGCTCTATCAAAAGAAAGTTTCAAGTCTGGGAGTCCAATGTACATGTCACAAAGAACGTTCTGTGAATGCTTGGGTCTACTTTTTATGTGAAGATAGCCGTTTCCAAAGAATTCTTCAAAGAGTTCCAGATATCCACAGGCAGATTCTACAAAAGAAGTGTTTCAATACTGCTCTATCAAAAGACGTATTCCACTCAGTTACTTTAATGCACACATCTCAATGAAGTTCCTGAGAAAGCTTCTGTCTAGTTTTTCTGTGAAAATATTTCCTTTTCCATCATGGGCCTCAAAGCGCTCAAAATGAACACTTGCAGATACTAGAGAAAGACTGTTTCAAAACTGCTCTATCCAAAGAAAGGTTCCACTCTGTGAGGTGAATGCACACATCACAAAGCAGTTTCTCAGAACGCTTCTGTCTAGTTTGTATGTGAACGTATTTCCTTTTCCATCATAGGCCTCAAATCGCTCCAAATATCCACTTGCAGATACTACAAAAAGACTGTTTCAAAACTGCTTTCTCAAAAGAAAGTTTCAACTCTGTGAGTTGAATGCACACATCACAAAGCAGTTTCTGAGAATGCTTCTGTGTAACTTGTATGTGAAGATCTCCCGTATACGCCCAATTCCTAAAAGACCGCCAAATATCCGCAAGCAGATTCTACAAAAGCAGTGTTTCAAATCTGCTCTATCAAAAGAAAGGTTCAACTTTGTGAATTGGACACAAACATCTCAAAGGAGTTTCTGAGAAGGCTTCTTTCTAGTTTCTAGGTGAACATATTCCTTTTTCCACCACAGGCAACAAAGCTCTCCAAATGAACACTTGCAGATTCTATAAAAAGTGTGTTTCAACACTGCTCTATCAAAATAAAGTTTCAAGTCTGTAAGTTTAATGCACACATCACAAAGCAGTTTCTGAGAATGCTTCTGTCTAGTTTGTAGGTGAAGGTATTTCCTTTTCCATCTTAGACCTCAAATCACTAAAAATATCCACTTGCAGATACTACAAAAAGACTGTTTCAAAACCTCTCTCTCAAAAGGAAGGTGCAACTCTGTGAGTTGAATGCACACATCACAAAGCAGTTTCTGAGAATGCTACTTTCTAGTATTTATGTGAAGATATTTCTTTATCCACCATAGGCACAACAGCGTTCCAAATGAACACTTGCAGATCGTACAAAATGTGTGTTTCAACACTGCTCTTTCAAAACAAGGGTTCAAGTCTGTGAGTTGAATGCAGACATCACCAAGCAGCTTCTGAGAGTGCTTCTGTCTAGATTGTATGTGAAGATATTTCCTATTCCATCTTAGGCCCCAAATCACTACAAACATCCAATTGAAGATACTTCAAAAAGATTGTTTCAAAACGGCTCTCTCAAAAGGAAGGTTCAACTCTGTGAGTTCAATTCACACATCACAAAGAAGTTTCTGAGAATGCTTCTGACTAGTGTGTATGTGAAGATATCCCTTTTACAAAGAATTCCTCCAAGAGCTACAAATATCCACAAGCAGATTCTACAAAACAGGTGGTTCAAAACTGCTCAATCAAAAGAAAGAGTCAACCCTGTGAATTGAACACACACATCACAAAGCAGTTTCTGAGAATGCTTCTGTCTAGTTTGTAAGTGAACATATTTCCTTTTCCATCATAGGCCTCAAATCGCTCCAAGTATCCACTTGCAGATACTACAAAAAGACTGTTTCAGAACTGCTTTCTCCAAAGAAAGTTTCAACTCTGTTAGTTGAATGCACACATCACAGAGCAGTTTCTGAGAATGCTTCTGTGTAATTTGTATGTGAAGATATCCCGTATACGCCCAATTCCTCAAAGACCTCCAAATACACGCAAGCAGATTCTACAAAAGCAGTGTTGCAAATCTGCTCTATCAAAAGAAAGGTTCAACTTTGTGAATTAGACACAAACATCTCAAAGGAGTTTCTGAGAAGGCTTCTTTCTAGTTTGTATGTGAACACATTTCTTTTTCCACCACAGGCAACAAAGCTCTCCAAATGAACACTTGCAGGTTCTATAAAAAGTGTGTTTCAACACTGCTATATCAAAATAAGGTTTCAAGTCTGTAAGTTTAATGCACACATCACAAAGCAGTTTCTGAGAATGCTTCTGTCTAGTTTGTAGGTGAAGGTATTTCCTTTTCCATATTAGACCTCAAATCACTAAAAATATCCACTTGTATATACTACAAAAAGACTGTTTCAAAACCTCTCTCTCAAAAGGAAGGCTCAACTCTGTGAGTTGAATGCACACATCACAAAGCAGTTTCTGAGTATGCTTCTGTCTAGCTTGTATGTGAAGATAGTTCCTTTTCCCTCATAGGTCCCAAATCGTTCCAAATATCGACTTGCAGATACCACAAAAAGACTGCTTCAAAACTGTTCTCAGAAGGAAGGTTCAACTCCGTGTGTTGAATGCACACATCAAAAAGCAGTTTCTCAGAATGCTTCTGGCTAGTTTGTGTGTGAAGATATCCCATTGACAGCGAATTCCTCAAAGAGCTCCAAATATCCACAAGCAGATTCTAGAAAAGCAGTGTTTCAAAACTGCTCAATCAAAAGAAAGGTTCAACTCTGTGAATTGAACACACATATCACAAAGGAGTTTCGGAGAACGCTTCTTTTTAGTGTTTATGTGAAGATATTTCTTTTTCCACCATAGGCATCAAAGCGCTCCAAATGAACTCTTGCAGATTCTACAAATGTGTGTATCAACACTGCACCGTCTAAAGAAATGTTCAAGTCTCTGAGTTGAATGCACCCATCACAAAGCAGTTTCTGAGAATGCTTCTTTCTAGTTTGCATGTGAAGATATTCCCGTTTCCATCTTAAGCCTCACATCGCTCCATATATCCACTTGAGGATACTACAAAAAACTGTTTCAAAACTGCTCTCTCAAAAGGAAGGTTCAACTCTGTGAGCTGAATGCACACATCGCAAAGCAGTTAATGAGATTGCTTCTGTCTAGTTTGTATGTGAGGATATTTCCTTTTCAAACTTAGACTTCCCATCGCTCCAAATATCCACTTGCAGATATTTCAAAGAGACTGTTTAAAAACTGCTCTCTCAGAAGGAAGGTTCAACTCTGTGAGTTGAATGCCCACACCACAAAGCAGTTTCTGAGAATGCTTCTGTCTAGTTTGTATGTGAAGATATCCCGTTTACAACGAATTCCTCAAAGAGCTCCAAATATCCACAAGCAGATTCTACAGAAGCAGTGTATCAAAACTGCTCTATCAAAAGAAAGGTTCAACTCTCTGAATAGAACAAACACATCACTAAGGCGTTTCTGAGAATGCTTCTGTCTAGTATTTATGTGAAGATATTTCTTTTTCCACCATAGGCAAAAAAGCGCTCCAAGTGAACACTTGCACATCCTACAAAATGTGTGTTTGAACACTGCTCTTTCAAAAGAAAGGTTGAAGTCTGTGATTGGAATGCACACATCACAAAGCAGTTTCTGAGAATGCTTCTGTCTAGTTTGTATGTGAAGATATCCCGTTTACAACGAAATCCTCAAAGATCTCCAAATATCCACAAGCAGATCCTATAAAAGCAGTGTTTCAAAACTGCTCTATCAAAAGAATATTTCAATTCTGTGAATTTGACACACACTTCACAAAGGAGTTTCTGAGAATGTTTCTGTCTAGTTTTCATTTGAAGATATTTCTTTTTCCACCGTAGGCAACAAAGCGCACTAAATGAACACTTGCAGATTCTACAAAAAGCGTGTTCCAACACTGATCTCTCAAAAGAAACTTTGAAGTCTGTGAGTTTAAGGCACACATCTCAAAGAACTTTTTGAGAATGCTTGGGTCTCCTTTTTTTGTGAAGATACCAGCTGCCAACGAACTCCTGAAAGAGTTCCAAATATCCACAAGCAGATTCTACAAAAGGAGTGTTTCAATTCTGCTCTATCAAAAGGCAGATTCAACTCAGTTACTTGAATGCACACATCTCAGTGAAGTTCCTGAGCATGCCTCTGTCTAGTTTTTTTGTGAAGATATTTCCTTTTCCGCCAAAGGCTTAAAAGCGCTCCAAAATGAACACTCGCAGATCCTACAAAAAGACTGTTTCAGAACTGCTCTATCAAAAGGACGGTTCCACTCTGTGAGGTAAATGCACACATCACAAAGCAGATTCTGAGAAAGCTTCTGTCAAGTTTGGCCGTGAAGATATTTCCTTTTCAATCTTAGTCCTCCCATTGCTCCAAGTATCCACTTGTAGAGAATACAAAAAGATTGTTTCAAAACTGCTCTCTCAAAAGGAAGGTTCAACTCTGTGAGTAGAATGCACACATCACAAACCAGTTTCTGAGAATGCTTCTGACTAGTTTGAATGTGAAGATATCCCGTTTAAAACGAATTCCTCAAACAGCTCCAAATATCCACAAGAAGATTCTACAAAAGCAGTGTTTCAAAACTGCTTTATCTAAAGAAAGGTTCAACCCTGTGAATTGAACAACCACATCACAAAGTATTTTCTGAGAATGTTTCTGTCTAGTTTTTACATGAAGATATTTCTTTTTCCACCATGGGCAAGAAAGCACTCCAAATGAACACTTGCAGATTCTACAAAAAGTGTGTTTCAACCCTGCTCTATCAAAAGAAAGTTTCAAGCCTGTGAGTTGAATCCCCACATCACAAAGCAGTTTCTGAGAATGCTTCTGCCTAGTTTTTAGGTGAAGATATATCCTTTTCCATCTTAGGCCTCAAATCTCTCCAAACATCCACTTGCAGATACTTCAAAAAGACTGTTTCAAAACTGCTCTCAAAAGGAAGGTTCAACTCTGTGAGTTGAATGCACACATCACAACGCAGTGTCTGAGAATGCTTCTGTCTAGTTTGTATGTGAAGATATTTCCTTTTCCATCTTAGGCCTCAAATCGATCCAAATATCCAATTGCAGATACCACAAAAAGACTGCTTCAAAACAGCTCTCGCAAAAGGAAGGTTCAACTCTGTGAGTTGAATGCACACATCACAGAGCAGTTTCTGAGAATGCTTCTGCCTACTTTGTATGTGAAGATATCCCGTTTACAACAAATTCCTCAAAGAGCCCCCAATAGCAACAAGCAGATTCTACAAAAGCAGTGTTTCAAAACTGCTCTATCCAAAGCAACTTTCAACTCTGCGAATTGAACACACACATCACAAAGCAGTCTCTGAGAATGCTTCTGTCTGGTTTTTAGGTGAAGATATTCCTTTTTCCACCATAGGCAACAGAGCACTCCAAACGAACACATGAAGATTCTACAAAAAGTGTGTTCCAACACTGCTCTATCAAAAGAAAGTTTCAAGTCTGGGAGTCCAATGTACATGTCACAAAGAACGTTCTGTGAATGCTTGGGTCTACTTTTTATGTGAAGATAGCCGTTTCCAAAGAATTCTTCAAAGAGTTCCAGATATCCACAGGCAGATTCTACAAAAGAAGTGTTTCAATACTGCTCTATCAAAAGACGTATTCAACTCAGTTACTTTAATGCACACATCTCAATGAAGTTCCTGAGAAAGCTTCTGTCTAGTTTTTATGTGAAAATATTTCCTTTTCCATCATGGGCCTCAAAGCGCTCAAAATGAACACTTGCAGATACTAGAGAAAGACTGTTTCAAAACTGCTCTATCCAAAGAAAGGTTCCACTCTGTGAGGTGAATGCACACATCACAAAGCAGTTTCTCAGAACGCTTCTGTCTAGTTTGTATGTGAACATATTTCCTTTTCCATCATAGGCCTCAAATCGCTCCAAATATCCACTTGCAGATACTACAAAAAGACTGTTTCAGAACTGCTTTCTCAAAAGAAAGTTTCAACTCTGTTAGTTGAATGCACACAGCACAGAGCAGTTTCTGAGAATGCTTCTGTGTAATTTGTATGTGAAGATATCCCGTATACGCCCAATTCCTCAAAGACCTCCAAATACACGCAAGCAGATTCTACAAAAGCAGTGTTTCAAATCTGCTCTATCAAAAGAAGGGTTCAACTTTGTGAATTGGACACAAACATCTCAAAGGAGTTTCTGAGAAGTCTTCTTTCTAGTTTCTAGGTGAACATATTCCTTTTTCCACCACAGGCAACAAAGCTCTCCAAATGAACACTTGCAGATTCTATAAAAAGTGTGTTTCAACACTGCTCTATCAAAATAAAGTTTCAAGTCTGTAAGTTTAATGCACACATCACAAAGCAGTTTCTGAGAATGCTTCTGTCTAGTTTGTAGGTGAAGGTATTTCCTTTTCCATCTTAGACCTCAAATCACTAAAAATATCCACTTGCAGATACTACAAAAAGACTGTTTCAAAACCTCTCTCTCAAAAGGAAGGTTCAACTCTGTGAGTTGAATGCACACATCACAAAGCAGTTTCTGAGAATGCTTCTGTCTAGTATTTATGTGAAGATATTTCTTTATCCACCATAGGCACAAAAGCGCTCCAAATGAACACTTGCAGATCGTACGAAATGTGTGTTTCAACACTGCTCTTTCAAAACAAGGTTTCAAGTCTGTGAGTTGAATGCAGACATCACCAAGCAGCTTCTGAGAGTGCTTCTGTCTAGATTGTATCTGAAGATATTTCCTTTTCCATCTTAGGCCTCAAATCACTACAAACATCCAATTGAAGATACTTCAAAAAGATTGTTTCAAAACGGCTCTCTCAAAAGGAAGGTTCAACTCTGTGAGTTCAATTCACACATCACAAAGAAGTTTCTGAGAATGCTTCTGACTAGTGTGTATGTGAAGATATCCCTTTTACAAAGAATTCCTCCAAGAGCTACAAATATCCACAAGCAGATTCTACAAAACAGGTGGTTCAAAACTGCTCAATCAAAAGAAAGTGTCAACCCTGTGAATTGAACACACACATCACAAAGCAGTTTCTGAGAATGCTTCTGTCTAGTTTGTAAGTGATCATATTTCCTTTTCCATCATAGGCCTCAAATCGCTCCAAATATCCACTTGCAGATACTACAAAAAGACTGTTTCAGAACAGCTTTCTCAAAAGAAAGTTTCAACTCTGTGAGAGGAATGCACACATCACAGAGCAGTTTCTGAGAATGCTTCTGTGTAATTTGTATGTGAAGATATCCCGTATACGCCCAATTCCTCAAAGACTTCCAAATACACGCAAGCAGATTCTACAAAAGCAGTGTTTCAAATCTGCTCTATCAAAAGAAAGGTTCAACTTTGTGAATTAGACACAAACATCTCAAAGGAGTTTCTGAGAAGGCTTCTTTCTAGTTTGTATGTGAACACATTTCTTTTTCCACCACAGGCAACAAAGCTCTCCAAATGAACACTTGCAGATTCCATAAAAAGTGTGTTTCAACACTGATCTATCAAAATAAGGTTTCAAGTCTGTAAGTTTAATGCACACATCACAAAGCAGTTACTGAGAATGCTTCTGTCTAGTTTGTAGGTGAAGGTATTTCCTTTTCCATCTTAGACCTCAAATCACTAAAAATATCCACTTGTATATACTACAAAAAGACTGTTTCAAAACCTCTCTCTCAAAAGGAAGGTTCAACTCTGTGAGTTGAATGCACACATCACAAAGCAGTTTCTGAGCATGCTTCTGTCTAGTTTGTATGTGAAGATAGTTCCTTTTCCCTCATAGGCCTCAAATCGTTCCAAATATCGACTTGCAGATACTACAAAAAGACTGTTTGAAAACCGTTCTCTCAGAAGGAAGGTTCAACTCCGTGTGTTGAATGCACACATCACAAAGCAGTTTCTGAGAATGCTTCTGTCTAGCTTGTACGTGAAGATAGTTCCTTTTCCCTCATAGGTCCCAAATCGTTCCAAATATCGACTTGCAGATACCACAAAAAGACTGCTTCAAAACTGTTCTCAGAAGGAAGGTTCAACTCCGTGTGTTGAATGCACACATCAAAAAGCAGTTTCTGAGAATGCTTCTGTCTAGTTTGTATGTGAAGATATAACATTGACAGCGAATTCGTTCAAAGAGCTTCAAATATCCAAAAGCAGATTCTAGAAAAGCAGTGTTTCAAAACTGCTCAATCAAAAGAAAGGTTCAACTCTGTGAACTGAACACATATATCACAAAGGAGTTTCGGAGAACGCTTCTTTCTAGTCTTTATGTGAAGATATTTCTTTTTCCACCATAGGCAACAAAGCGCACTAAATGAACACTTGCAGATTCTACAAAAAGCGTGTTCCAACACTGATCTCTCAAAAGAAAGTTTGAAGTCTGTGAGTTTAAGGCACACATCTCAAGGAACTTTTTGAGAATCCTTGGGTCTCCTTTTTTTGTGAAGATACCAGCTGCCAACGAACTCCTGAAAGAGTTCCAAATATCCACAAGCAGATTCTACAAAAGGAGTGTTTCAATTCTGCTCTATCAAAAGGCAGATTCAACTCAGTTACTTGAATGCACACATCTCAGTGAAGTTCCTGAGCATGCCTCTGTCTAGTTTTTTTGTGAAGATATTTCCTTTTCCGCCAAAGGCTTAAAAGCGCTCCAAAATGAACACTCGCAGATCCTACAAAAAGACTGTTTCAGAACTGCTCTATCAAAAGGACGGTTCCACTCTGTGAGGTAAATGCACACATCACAAAGCAGATTCTGAGAAAGCTTCTGTCAAGTTTGGCCGTGAAGATATTTCCTTTTCAATCTTAGTCCTCCCATTGCTCCAAGTATCCACTTGTAGAGAATACAAAAAGATTGTTTCAAAACTGCTCTCTCAAAAGGAAGGTTCAACTCTGTGAGTAGAATGCACACATCACAAACCAGTTTCTGAGAATGCTTCTGACTAGTTTGAATGTGAAGATATCCCGTTTAAAACGAATTCCTCAAACAGCTCCAAATATCCACAAGAAGATTCTACAAAAGCAGTGTTTCAAAACTGCTTTATCTAAAGAAAGGTTCAACCCTGTGAATTGAACAACCACATCACAAAGTATTTTCTGAGAATGTTTCTGTCTAGTTTTTACGTGAAGATATTTCTTTTTCCACCATGGGCAAGAAAGCACTCCAAATGAACACTTGCAGATTCTACAAAAAGTGTGTTTCAACCCTGCTCTATCAAAAGAAAGTTTCAAGCCTGTGAGTTGAATCCCCACATCACAAAGCAGTTTCTGAGAATGCTTCTGCCTAGTTTTTAGGTGAAGATATATCCTTTTCCATCTTAGGCCTCAAATCTCTCCAAACATCCACTTGCAGATACTTCAAAAAGACTGTTTCAAAACTGCTCTCAAAAGGAAGGTTCAACTCTGTGAGTTGAATGCACACATCACAACGCAGTGTCTGAGAATGCTTCTGTCTAGTTTGTATGTGAAGATATTTCCTTTTCCATCTTAGGCCTCAAATCGATCCAAATATCCAATTGCAGATACCACAAAAAGACTGCTTCAAAACAGCTCTCGCAAAAGGAAGGTTCAACTCTGTGAGTTGAATGCACACATCACAGAGCAGTTTCTGAGAATGCTTCTGTCTACTTTGTATGTGAAGATATCCCGTTTACAACAAATTCCTCATAGAGCCCCCAATATCAACAAGCAGATTCTACAAAAGCAGTGTTTCAAAACTGCTCTATCAAAAGGAACATTCAACTCAGCGAATTGAACACACACATCACAAAGCAGTCTCTGAGAATGCTTCTGTCTTGTTTTTAGGTGAAGATATTCCTTTTTCTACCATAGGCAACAAAGCACTCCAGACGAACACATGAAGATTCTACAAAAAGTGTGTTCCAGCACTGCTCTATCAAAAGAAAGGTTCAAGTCTGGGAGTCCAATGTACATATCACAAAGAACTTTCTGAGAATGCTTGGGTCTAGTTTTTATGTGAAGATAGCGTTTCCAAAGAATTCTTCAAAGAGTTCCAGATATCCACAGGCAGATTATACAAAAGAAGTGTTTCAATACTGCTCTATCAAAAGACGTATTCAAATCAGTTACCTTAATGCACACATCTCAATGAAATTCCTGAGAAAGCTTCTGTCTAGGTTTATGTGAAAATATTAACTTTTCCATCATGGGCCTCAAAGCGCTCAAAATGAACACTTGCAGATACTAGAGAAAGACTGTTTCAAAACTGCTCTATCCAAAGAACGGTTCCACTCTGTGAGGTGAATGCACACATCACAAAGCAGTTTCTGAGAACGCTTGTGTCTAGTTTGTATGTGAACATATTTCCTTTTCCATCATAGGCCTCAAATCGCTCCAAATATCCACTTGCAGATACTACAAGAAGACTGTTTCAAAACTGCATTCTCAAAAGAAAGTTTCAACTCTGTGAGTTGAATGCACACATCACCAAGCAGTTTCTGAGAATGCTTCTGTCTAGTTTGTAGGTGAAGGTATTTCCTTTTCCATCTTACACCTCAAATCACTAAAAATATCCACTTGCAGATACTACAAAAAGACTGTTTCAAAATCTCTCTCTCAAAAGGAAGGTTCAACTCTGTGAGTTGAATGCACACATCACAAAGCAGTTTCTGAGAATGCTTCTGTCTAGTATTTATGTGAAGATATTGCTTTTTCCACCATAGGCACAAAAGCTCTCCAAATGAACACTTGCAGATCCTACAAAATGTGTGTTTCAACACTGCTCTTTCAAAACAAGGGTTAAAGTCTGTGAGTTGAATGCAGACATCACCAAGCAGCTTCTGAGAGTGCTTCTGTCTAGATTGTATGTGAAGATATTTCCTTTTCCATCTTAGGCCTCAAATCACTACAAGTATCCAATTGAAGATACTTCAAAAAGATTGTTTCAAAACGGCTCTCTCAGAAGGAAGGATCAACTCTGTGAGTTCAATTCACAATCACAAAGAAGTTTCTGAGAATGCTTCTGACTTGTGTGTATGTGAAGATATCCCTTTTACAATGAATTCTTCCAAGAGCTACAAATATCCACAAGCAGATTCTACAAAACAGGTTGTTCAAAACTGCTCAATCAAAAGAAAGAGTCAACCCTGTGAATTGAACACACACATCACAAAGCAGTTTCTGAGCATGCTTCTGTCTAGTTTGTATGTGAAGATAGTTCCTTTTCCCTCATAGGCCTCATAGCGTTCCAAATAGCGACTTGCAGATACTACAAAAAGACTGTTTGAAAACTGTTCTCTCAGAAGGAAGGTTCAACTCCGTGTGTTGAATGCACACATCACAAAGCAGTTTCTGAGAATGCTTCTGGCTAGTTTGTATATGAAGATATCCCATTGACAATGAATTCCTCAAAGAGCTCCAAATATCCACAAGCAGATTCTAGAAAAGCAGTTTTTCAAAACTGCTCAATGAAAAGAAAGGTTCAACTCTGTGAATTGAACACACATATCACAAAGGAGTTTCGGAGAACGCTTCTTTGTAGTGCTTATGTGAAGATATTTCTTTTTCCACCATAGGCATCAAAGCGCTCCAAATGAACTCTTGCAGATTCTACAAATGTGTGTTTCAAACTGCTCCGTCTAAAGAAATGTTCAAGTCTCTGAGTTGAATGCACCCATCACAAAGCAGTTTCTGAGAATGCTTCTATCTAGTTTGTATGTGAAGATATTCCCGTTTCCATCTTAAGCCTCACATCGCTCCATATATCCACTTGAGGATACTACAAAAAACTGTTTCAAAACTGCTCTCTCAAAAGGAAGGTTCAACTCTGTGAGCTGAATGCACACATCACAAAGCAGTTAATGAGATTGCTTCTGTCTAGTTTGTATGTGAGGATATTTCCTTTTCAATCTTAGACTTCCCATCGCTCCAAATATCCACTTGCAGTTATTTCAAAGAGACTGTTTAAAAACTGCTCTCTCAGAAGGAAGGTTCACCTATGTGAGTTGAATGCACACACCACAAGGCAGTTTCTGAGAATGCTGCTGTCTAGTTTGTATGTGAAGATATCCCGTTTACAACGAATTCCTCAAAGAGCTCCAAATATCCACAAGCAGATTCTACAAAAGGAGTGTTTCAATTCTGCTCTATCAAAATAAAGGTTCAACACTCTGAATAGAACAAACACATCACAAAGGAGTTTCTGAGAATGCTTCTGTCTAGTATTTATGTGAAGATATTTCTTTTTCCACCATAGGCAAAAAAGAGCTCCAAGTGAACACTTGCACATGCTACAAAATGTGTGTTTCAACACTGCTCTTTCAAAAGAAAGGTTGAAGTCTGTGATTGGAATGCACACATCACAAAGCAGTTTCTGAGAATGCTTCTGTCTACTTTGTATGTGAAGATATCCCGTTTACAACAAATTCCTCAAAGAGCCCCCAATAGCAACAAGCAGATTCTACAAAAGCAGTGTTTCAAAACTGCTCTATCAAAAGGAACTTTTAACTCTGCGAATTGAACACACACATCACAAAGCAGTCTCGGAGAATGCTTCTGTCTGGTTTTTAGGTGAAGATATTCCTTTTTCCACCATAGGCAACAAAGCACTCCAAACGAACACATGAAGATTCTACAAAAAGTGTGTTCCAACACTGCTCTATCAAAAGAAATGTTCAAGTCTGGGAGTCCAATGTACATATCACAAAGAACTTTCTGAGAATGCTTGGGTCTACTTTTTATGTGAAGATAGCCGTTTCCAAAGAATTCTTCAAAGAGTTCCAGATATCCACAGGCAGATTCTACAAATAAGTGTTTCAATACTGCTCTATCAAAAGACGTATTCAACTCAGTTACTTTAATGCACACATCTCAATGAAGTTCCTGAGAAAGCTTCTGTCTACTTTTTATGTGAAAATATTTCCTATTCCATCATGGGCCTAAAAGCGCTCAAAATGAACACTTGCAGATACTAGAGAAAGACTGTTTCAAAACTGCTCTATCCAAAGAACGGTTCCACTCTGTGAGGTGAATGCACACATCACAAAGCAGTTTCTGAGAACGCTTCTGTCTAGTTTGTATGTGAACATATTTCCTTTTCCATCATAGGCCTCAAATCGCTCCAAATATCCACTTGCAGATACTACAAAAAGACTGTTTCGGAACTGCTTTCTCAAAAGAAAGTTTCAACTCTGTGAGTTGAATGCACACAGCACAAAGCAGTTTCTGACAATGCTTCTGTGTAATTTGTATGTGAAGATATCCCGTATACGTCCAATTCCTCAAATACCTCCAAATATTCACAAGCAGATTCTACAAAAGCAGAGTTTCAAATCTGCTGTATCAATAGAAAGGTTCAACTTTGTGAATTGGACACAAACATCTCAAAGGAGTTTCTGAGAAGGCTTCTTTCTAGTTTGTATGTGAACACATTTCTTTTTCCACCACAGGCAACAAAGCTCTCAAAATGAACACTTGCAGATTCTATAAAAAGTGTGTTTCAACACTGCTCTATCAAAATAAGGTTTCAAGTCTGTACATTTAATGCACACATCACAAAGCAGTTTCTGAGAATGCTTCTGTCTAGTTTGTAGGTGAAGGTATTTCCTTTTCCATATTAGACCTCAAATCACTAAAAATATCCACTTGTATATGCTACAAAAAGACTGTTTCAAAACCTCTCTCTCAAAAGGAAGGTTCAACTCTGTGAGTTGAATGCGCACATCACAAAGCAGTTTCTGAGCATGCTTCTGTCTAGTTTGTATGTGAAAATAGTTCCTTTTCCCTCATAGGCCTCAAATCGTTCCAAATATCGACTTGCAGGTACTACAAAAAGACTGTTTGAAAACTCTTCTCTCACAAGGAAGGTTCAACTCCGTGTGTTGAATGCACACATCACAAAGCAGTTTCTGAGAATGCTTCTGGCTAGTTTGTATGTGAAGATATCCCATTGACAGCGAATTCCTCAAAGAGCTCCAAATATCCACAAGCAGATTCTAGAAAAGCAGCGTTTCAAAACTGCTCAATCAAAAGAAAGGTTCATCTCTGTGCATTGAACACACATATCACAAAGGAGTTTCGGAGAACACTTCTTTCTAGTCTTTATGTGAAGATACTTCTTTTTCCACCATAGGCATCAAAGCGCTCCAAATGAACACTTGCAGATTCTACAAATGTGTGTTTCAACACTGCTCCGTCTAAAGAAATGTTCAAGTCTCTGTGTTGAATGCACCCATCACAAAGGAGTTTCTGAGAATGCTTCTATCTAGTTTCTATGTGAAGATATTCCCGTTTCCATGTTAAGCCTCACATCGCTCCATATATCCACTTGAGGATACTACAAAAAACTGTTTCAAAACTGCTCTCTCAAAAGGAAGGTTCAACTCTGTGAGCTGAATGCACACATCACAAAGCAGTAAATGAGATTGCTTCTGTCTAGTTTGTATGTGAAGATATTTCTTTATCCACCATAGGCAAAAAAACGCTCCAAGTGAACACTTGCACATCCTACAAAATGTGTGTTTCAACACTGCTCTTTCAAGAGAAAGGTTCAAGTCTGTGAGTTGAATGCACACATCACTAAGCAGTTTCTGAGAATGCTGCTGTCTAGTTTGTATGCGAAGATATCCCGTTTACAACGAATTCCTCAAAGAGCTCCAAATATCCACAAGCAGATTCTACAGAAGCAGTGTATCAAAACTGCTCTATCAAAAGAAAGGTTCAACTCTCTGAATAGAACAAACACATCAAAAAGGAGTTTCTGAGAATGCTTCTGTCTAGTATTTATGTGAAGATATTTCTTTTTCCACCATAGGCAAAAAAACGCTCCAAGTGAACACTTGCACATCCTACAAAATGTTTGTTTCAACACTGCTCTTTCAAGAGAAAGGTTCAAGTCTGTGAGTTGAATGCACACATCACTAA
The DNA here is from genome assembly GCF_000001405.40 of Homo sapiens. Lineage (NCBI taxonomy): Eukaryota > Metazoa > Chordata > Mammalia > Primates > Hominidae > Homo > Homo sapiens. The sequence continues at coordinate 46,805,192 of NC_000005.10, read as the reverse complement.
GCAGTTTCTGTGAATGCTTCTGTCTAGTTTGTATGTGAAGATATCCCGTTTACAACGAAATACTCAAAGAGCTCCAAATATCCACAAGCAGATCCTATAAATGCGGTGTTTCAAAACTGCTCTATCATAAGAAAATTTCAATTCTGTGAATTTGACACACACTTCACAAAGGAGTTTCTGAGAATGTTTCTGTCTAGTTTTCATTTGAAGATATTTCTTTTTCCACTATAGGCAACAAAGCGCACTAAATGAACCCTTGCAGATTCTACAAAAAGCGTGTTCCAACACTGATCTCTCAAAAGAATGTTTGAAGTCTGTGAGTTGAAGGCACACATCTCAAAGAACTTTTTGAGAATGCTTGGGTCTCCTTTTTTTGGGAAGATACCAACTACCAACGAATTCCTGAAAGAGTTCCAAATATCCACAAGTAGATTCTACAAAAGGATTGTTTCAATTCTGCTCTATCAAAAGGCAGATTCAACTCAGTTACTTGAATGCACACATCTCAATGAAGTTCCTGAGCATGCCTCTGTCTAGTTTTCTGTGAAGATATTTCCTTTTCCGCCAAAGGCTTAAAAGCTCTCCAAAATGAACACTCGCAGATCCTACAAAAAGACTGTTTCAGAACTGCTCTATCAAAAGGACGGTTCCACTCTGTGAGGTGAATGCACACATCACAAAGCAGATTCTGAGAAAGCTTCTGTCAAGTTTGGCTGTGAAGATATTTCCTTTTCCATCTTAGTCCTCCCATTGTTCCAAATATCCACTTGCAGATAGTACAAAAAGATTGTTTCAAAACTGTTCTCTCAAAAGGAAGGTTCAACTCTGTGAGTAGAATGCACACATCACAAACCAGTTTCTGAGGATGCTTCTGACTAGTTTGAATGTGAAGATATCCCGTTTAAAACGAATTCCTCAAACAGCTCCAAATATCCACAAGAAGATTCTACAAAAGCAGTGTTTCAAAACTGCTTTATCTAAAGAAAGGTTCAACCCTGTGAATTGAACAACTACATCACAAAGTATTTTCTGAGAAAGTTTCTGTCTAGTTTTCAGGTGAAGATATTTCTTTTTCCACCATGGGCAAGAAAGCACTCCAAATGAACACTTGCAGATTCTACAAAAAGTGTGTTTGAACCCTGCTGTATCAAAAGAAAGTTTCAAGCCTGTGAGTTGAATCCCCACATCACAAAGCAGTTTCTGAGAATGCTTCTGCCTAGTTTTTAGGTGAAGATATATCCTTTTCCATCTTAGGCCTCAAATCTCTCCAAACATCCACTTGCAGATACTTCAAAAAGACTGTTTCAAAACTGCTCTCAAAAGGAAGGTTCAACTCTGTGAGTTGAATGCACACATCACAACGCAGTGTCTGAGAATGCTTCTGTCTAGTTTGTATGTGGAGATATTTCCTTTTCCATCTTAGGCCTCAAATCGATCCAAATATCCAATTGCAGATACCACAAAAAGACTGCTTCAAAACAGCTCTCGCAAAAGGAAGGTTCAACTCTGTGAGTTGAATGCACACATCACAGAGCAGTTTCTGAGAATGCTTCTGTCTACTTTGTATGTGAAGATATCCCGTTTACAACAAATTCCTCATAGAGCCCCCAATATCAACAAGCAGATTCTACAAAAGCAGTGTTTCAAAACTGCTCTATCAAAAGGAACATTCAACTCAGCGAATTGAACACACACATCACAAAGCAGTCTCTGAGAATGCTTCTGTCTTGTTTTTAGGTGAAGATATTCCTTTTTCTACCATAGGCAACAAAGCACTCCAGACGAACACATGAAGATTCTACAAAAAGTGTGTTCCAGCACTGCTCTATCAAAAGAAAGGTTCAAGTCTGGGAGTCCAATGTACATATCACAAAGAACTTTCTGAGAATGCTTGGGTCTAGTTTTTATGTGAAGATAGCCGTTTCCAAAGAATTCTTCAAAGAGTTCCAGATATCCACAGGCAGATTATACAAAAGAAGTGTTTCAATACTGCTCTATCAAAAGACGTATTCAAATCAGTTACCTTAATGCACACATCTCAATGAAATTCCTGAGAAAGCTTCTGTCTAGGTTTATGTGAAAATATTAACTTTTCCATCATGGGCCTCAAAGCGCTCAAAATGAACACTTGCAGATACTAGAGAAAGACTGTTTCAAAACTGCTCTATCCAAAGAACGGTTCCACTCTGTGAGGTGAATGCACACATCACAAAGCAGTTTCTGAGAACGCTTCTGTCTAGTTTGTATGTGAACATATTTCCTTTTCCATCATAGGCCTCAAATCGCTCCAAATATCCACTTGCAGATACTACAAGAAGACTGTTTCAAAACTGCATTCTCAAAAGAAAGTTTCAACTCTGTGAGTTGAATGCACACATCACCAAGCAGTTTCTGAGAATGCTTCTGTCTAGTTTGTAGGTGAAGGTATTTCCTTTTCCATCTTACACCTCAAATCACTAAAAATATCCACTTGCAGATACTACAAAAAGACTGTTTCAAAATCTCTCTCTCAAAAGGAAGGTTCAACTCTGTGAGTTGAATGCACACATCACAAAGCAGTTTCTGAGAATGCTTCTGTCTAGTATTTATGTGAAGATATTGCTTTTTCCACCATAGGCACAAAAGCTCTCCAAATGAACACTTGCAGATCCTACAAAATGTGTGTTTCAACACTGCTCTTTCAAAACAAGGGTTAAAGTCTGTGAGTTGAATGCAGACATCACCAAGCAGCTTCTGAGAGTGCTTCTGTCTAGATTGTATGTGAAGATATTTCCTTTTCCATCTTAGGCCTCAAATCACTACAAGTATCCAATTGAAGATACTTCAAAAAGATTGTTTCAAAACGGCTCTCTCAGAAGGAAGGATCAACTCTGTGAGTTCAATTCACAATCACAAAGAAGTTTCTGAGAATGCTTCTGACTTGTGTGTATGTGAAGATATCCCTTTTACAATGAATTCTTCCAAGAGCTACAAATATCCACAAGCAGATTCTACAAAACAGGTTGTTCAAAACTGCTCAATCAAAAGAAAGAGTCAACCCTGTGAATTGAACACACACATCACAAAGCAGTTTCTGAGCATGCTTCTGTCTAGTTTGTATGTGAAGATAGTTCCTTTTCCCTCATAGGCCTCATAGCGTTCCAAATAGCGACTTGCAGATACTACAAAAAGACTGTTTGAAAACTGTTCTCTCAGAAGGAAGGTTCAACTCCGTGTGTTGAATGCACACATCACAAAGCAGTTTCTGAGAATGCTTCTGGCTAGTTTGTATATGAAGATATCCCATTGACAATGAATTCCTCAAAGAGCTCCAAATATCCACAAGCAGATTCTAGAAAAGCAGTTTTTCAAAACTGCTCAATGAAAAGAAAGGTTCAACTCTGTGAATTGAACACACATATCACAAAGGAGTTTCGGAGAACGCTTCTTTGTAGTGCTTATGTGAAGATATTTCTTTTTCCACCATAGGCATCAAAGCGCTCCAAATGAACTCTTGCAGATTCTACAAATGTGTGTTTCAAACTGCTCCGTCTAAAGAAATGTTCAAGTCTCTGAGTTGAATGCACCCATCACAAAGCAGTTTCTGAGAATGCTTCTATCTAGTTTGTATGTGAAGATATTCCCGTTTCCATCTTAAGCCTCACATCGCTCCATATATCCACTTGAGGATACTACAAAAAACTGTTTCAAAACTGCTCTCTCAAAAGGAAGGTTCAACTCTGTGAGCTGAATGCACACATCACAAAGCAGTTAATGAGATTGCTTCTGTCTAGTTTGTATGTGAGGATATTTCCTTTTCAATCTTAGACTTCCCATCGCTCCAAATATCCACTTGCAGATATTTCAAAGAGACTGTTTAAAAACTGCTATCTCAGAAGGAAGGTTCACCTCTGTGAGTTGAATGCACACACCACAAAGCAGTTTCTGAGAATGCTGCTGTCTAGTTTGTATGTGAAGATATCCCGTTTACAACGAATTCCTCAAAGAGCTCCAAATATCCACAAGCAGATTCTACAAAAGGAGTGTTTCAATTCTGCTCTATCAAAATAAAGGTTCAACACTCTGAATAGAACAAACACATCACAAAGGAGTTTCTGAGAATGCTTTCTGTCTAGTATTTATGTGAAGATATTTCTTTTTCCACCATAGGCAAAAAAACGCTCCAAGCGAACACTTGCACATCCTACAAAATGTGTGTTTCAACACTGCTCTTTCAAGAGAAAGGTTCAAGTCTGTGAGTTGAATGCACACATCACTAAGCAGTTTCTGAGAATGCTTCTGTCTACTTTGTATGTGAAGATATCCCGTTTACAACAAATTCCTCAAAGAGCCCCCAATAGCAACAAGCAGATTCTACAAAAGCAGTGTTTCAAAACTGCTCTATCAAAAGGAACTTTTAACTCTGCGAATTGAACACACACATCACAAAGCAGTCTCGGAGAATGCTTCTGTCTGGTTTTTAGGTGAAGATATTCCTTTTTCCACCATAGGCAACAAAGCACTCCAAACGAACACATGAAGATTCTACAAAAAGTGTGTTCCAACACTGCTCTATCAAAAGAAATGTTCAAGTCTGGGAGTCCAATGTACATATCACAAAGAACTTTCTGAGAATGCTTGGGTCTACTTTTTATGTGAAGATAGCCGTTTCCAAAGAATTCTTCAAAGAGTTCCAGATATCCACAGGCAGATTCTACAAATAAGTGTTTCAATACTGCTCTATCAAAAGACGTATTCAACTCAGTTACTTTAATGCACACATCTCAATGAAGTTCCTGAGAAAGCTTCTGTCTACTTTTTATGTGAAAATATTTCCTATTCCATCATGGGCCTAAAAGCGCTCAAAATGAACACTTGCAGATACTAGAGAAAGACTGTTTCAAAACTGCTCTATCCAAAGAACGGTTCCACTCTGTGAGGTGAATGCACACATCACAAAGCAGTTTCTGAGAACGCTTCTGTCTAGTTTGTATGTGAACATATTTCCTTTTCCATCATAGGCCTCAAATCGCTCCAAATATCCACTTGCAGATACTACAAAAAGACTGTTTCGGAACTGCTTTCTCAAAAGAAAGTTTCAACTCTGTGAGTTGAATGCACACAGCACAAAGCAGTTTCTGACAATGCTTCTGTGTAATTTGTATGTGAAGATATCCCGTATACGTCCAATTCCTCAAATACCTCCAAATATTCACAAGCAGATTCTACAAAAGCAGAGTTTCAAATCTGCTGTATCAATAGAAAGGTTCAACTTTGTGAATTGGACACAAACATCTCAAAGGAGTTTCTGAGAAGGCTTCTTTCTAGTTTGTATGTGAACACATTTCTTTTTCCACCACAGGCAACAAAGCTCTCAAAATGAACACTTGCAGATTCTATAAAAAGTGTGTTTCAACACTGCTCTATCAAAATAAGGTTTCAAGTCTGTACATTTAATGCACACATCACAAAGCAGTTTCTGAGAATGCTTCTGTCTAGTTTGTAGGTGAAGGTATTTCCTTTTCCATATTAGACCTCAAATCACTAAAAATATCCACTTGTATATGCTACAAAAAGACTGTTTCAAAACCTCTCTCTCAAAAGGAAGGTTCAACTCTGTGAGTTGAATGCGCACATCACAAAGCAGTTTCTGAGCATGCTTCTGTCTAGTTTGTATGTGAAAATAGTTCCTTTTCCCTCATAGGCCTCAAATCGTTCCAAATATCGACTTGCAGGTACTACAAAAAGACTGTTTGAAAACTCTTCTCTCACAAGGAAGGTTCAACTCCGTGTGTTGAATGCACACATCACAAAGCAGTTTCTGAGAATGCTTCTGGCTAGTTTGTATGTGAAGATATCCCATTGACAGCGAATTCCTCAAAGAGCTCCAAATATCCACAAGCAGATTCTAGAAAAGCAGTGTTTCAAAACTGCTCAATCAAAAGAAAGGTTCATCTCTGTGCATTGAACACACATATCACAAAGGAGTTTCGGAGAACACTTCTTTCTAGTCTTTATGTGAAGATATTTCTTTTTCCACCATAGGCATCAAAGCGCTCCAAATGAACACTTGCAGATTCTACAAATGTGTGTTTCAACACTGCTCCGTCTAAAGAAATGTTCAAGTCTCTGTGTTGAATGCACCCATCACAAAGGAGTTTCTGAGAATGCTTCTATCTAGTTTCTATGTGAAGATATTCCCGTTTCCATGTTAAGCCTCACATCGCTCCATATATCCACTTGAGGATACTACAAAAAACTGTTTCAAAACTGCTCTCTCAAAAGGAAGGTTCAACTCTGTGAGCTGAATGCACACATCACAAAGCAGTAAATGAGATTGCTTCTGTCTAGTTTGTATGTGAAGATATTTCTTTATCCACCATAGGCAAAAAAACGCTCCAAGTGAACACTTGCACATCCTACAAAATGTGTGTTTCAACACTGCTCTTTCAAGAGAAAGGTTCAAGTCTGTGAGTTGAATGCACACATCACTAAGCAGTTTCTGAGAATGCTGCTGTCTAGTTTGTATGCGAAGATATCCCGTTTACAACGAATTCCTCAAAGAGCTCCAAATATCCACAAGCAGATTCTACAGAAGCAGTGTATCAAAACTGCTCTATCAAAAGAAAGGTTCAACTCTCTGAATAGAACAAACACATCAAAAAGGAGTTTCTGAGAATGCTTCTGTCTAGTATTTATGTGAAGATATTTCTTTTTCCACCATAGGCAAAAAAACGCTCCAAGTGAACACTTGCACATCCTACAAAATGTTTGTTTCAACACTGCTCTTTCAAGAGAAAGGTTCAAGTCTGTGAGTTGAATGCACACATCACTAAGCAGTTTCTGTGAATGCTTCTGTCTAGTTTGTATGTGAAGATATCCCGTTTACAACGAAATACTCAAAGAGCTCCAAATATCCACAAGCAGATCCTATAAATGCGGTGTTTCAAAACTGCTCTATCATAAGAAAATTTCAATTCTGTGAATTTGACACACACTTCACAAAGGAGTTTCTGAGAATGTTTCTGTCTAGTTTTCATTTGAAGATATTTCTTTTTCCACTATAGGCAACAAAGCGCACTAAATGAACCCTTGCAGATTCTACAAAAAGCGTGTTCCAACACTGATCTCTCAAAAGAATGTTTGAAGTCTGTGAGTTGAAGGCACACATCTCAAAGAACTTTTTGAGAATGCTTCTGTCTAGTTTGTATGTGAAGATATCCCGTTTACAACGAATTCCTCAAAGAGCTCCAAATATCCACAAGCAGATTCTACAAAAGGAGTGTTTCAATTCTGCTCTATCAAAAGGCAGATTCAACTCAGTTACTTGAATGCACACATCTCAGTGAAGTTCCTGAGCATGCCTCTGTCTAGTTTTTTGTGAAGATATTTCCTTTTCCGCCAAACGCTTAAAAGCGCTCTAAAATGAACACTCGCAGATCCTACAAAAAGACTGTTTCAGAACTGCTCTATCAAAAGGACGGTTCCACTCTGTGAGGTGAATGCACACATCACAAAGTAGATTCTGAGAAAGCTACTGTCAAGTTTGGCTGTGAAGATATTTCCTCTTCAATCTTAGTCCTCCCATTGCTCCAAGTTTCCACTTGTAGAGAATACAAAAAGATTGTTTCAAAACTGCTCTCTCAAAAGGAAGGTTCATCTCTCTGAGTAGAATGCACACATCACAAACCAGTTTCTGAGAATGCTTCTGACTAGTTTGAATGTGAAGATATCCTGTTTAAAACGAATTCCTCAAACAGCTCCAAATATCTACAAGAAGATTCTACAAAAGCAGTGTTTCAAAACTGCTTTATCTAAAGAAAGGTTCAACCCTGTGAATTGAACAACTACATCACAAAGTATTTTCTGAGAAAGTTTCTGTCTAGTTTTCAGGTGAAGATATTTCTTTTTCCACCATGGGCAAGAAAGCACTCCAAATGAACACTTGCAGATTCTACAAAAAGTGTGTTTGAACCCTGCTGTATCAAAAGAAAGTTTCAAGCCTGTGAGTTGAATCCCCACATCACAAAGCAGTTTCTGAGAATGCTTCTGCCTAGTTTTTAGGTGAAGATATATCCTTTTCCATCTTAGGCCTCAAATCTCTCCAAACATCCACTTGCAGATACTTCAAAAAGACTGTTTCAAAACTGCTCTCAAAAGGAAGGTTCAACTCTGTGAGTTGAATGCACACATCACAACGCAGTGTCTGAGAATGCTTCTGTCTAGTTTGTATGTGGAGATATTTCCTTTTCCATCTTAGGCCTCAAATCGATCCAAATATCCAATTGCAGATACCACAAAAAGACTGCTTCAAAACAGCTCTCGCAAAAGGAAGGTTCAACTCTGTGAGTTGAATGCACACATCACAGAGCAGTTTCTGAGAATGCT